>NC_000004.12:84527441-84678956 GCF_000001405.40 Homo sapiens
TTTATTATGAAAAATTTCAAATCTATGCAAAAGTAGAATAGAATATGACCTTACCCCCATATATATATAGGACCCAGCTTCAACAATTACCAACTCATAACTAAGCTTATTTCATCTCTCTCCCCACCCACTTCTCTCTCCCTAAGCACCAGACTATTTTGAAACAAATCACAGACATTGCATAATTTCATCTATAATTATTTCAGTGTGCATGTCTAAAAAAGAAGGACTCTTTTAAAAAATCACATTATCATTTTCACACATAAAAATTAGAATAGTCCATTAGTTCCATCAAATATTCTTCAGGGTTCACATTTTCTTATTTATGTTCTATAAATATGTTTTTACATGTACTGTAGTTTTGTTTGAATCAGAATACTAACAAGTCCTATGCACAAACACGTCATTTCTGAAAGGGACAAGTGGATAAATTTAAAAGAGTTTTGGTTTTACAAGCAAATTACCAGAAGCACTTTAGTGTTACAATATATAGTATAAAACCAATTTTGATTGAAATGGGAACAGTGCATTTTAAAATATAATTTAATAGGTTTAAATGAATGTTCCAAATACTAAAGCACACTACACTTTCTCAAAAATAAAAAGGGAGATGATTTGGGGCTGCCAATTACAAATACATTCACAACTGACATGAACGTTTTCAGTTGAAAATATAAAATCTTCTTAAAATATATATTTCTTCTGTTGGTTGACTTGGCTTTGTGTTGCAAACTATGGTTCATCTGTTCTTCCAGTTGCACTAGTACCGCCAGGCTAAACATTCTTCAGCTCAGTCCAATCCTAAGCAATTACTCCCTTACCACCTAAAAAAAAAAAAGAACCAAACCAAAAAAAAAAAAATCAATTACATGCTTGTTAGAAATTTTTGCATACATAAATTATAACTCTGATTCTGGGTGCTAGGAAAACTTTGGCTGAAGCAAACAAGGAACACCTAAAAGTTAAGCAAATAGCTACCTTAAACCAATTTACTGCTTTTTACCATCAGCATCACAGAGTGTCAGAACTAAAAAGAGGCTTTGCACTCCAAACCCCTCCTAACAGAGGTGAGCCAAGAGAGGCTGAACGACTTGCCTGGCATCATGCAGCAAGAAGGGAGGTTCCCGAACCCAGACTATCCTACGACCAGACTAGATGCTTTCCCCTGCTGTTATGTCATACCCAAATTGCTAGATTACATCTGATTCAAAGCTACTGCTTTTCTGTTAAAGCTCCTGTCCTTCTGGTGGAGCAAGATTTGGGAGAACGGCAGTCATCCCTCCATATACATGGGGGATTGTTTCTAGGACCCCTGCATATACCAAAATCCTAGCACACTCAAGTCGCAAAATGGGCCCAGCGGAATTTGCGGAAAAAGTCAGCCCTCCATGTGTGCAGGTTTCACATCCAGCAATTACTGTATCTTGAGTCTGCACTTGGTTGAAAAAAATCTTTGTATAAGTGAACCCACACAATTTAAACCTGTGTTATTCAAAGGTCAACTGTGCTTTTACATTTCATTTCTCTTTATTTCACTTTCTACAGTCGCTTCAGAAAATGTTGTCAACTATTTTAAATGGCTGGTTCTTCTTTCACTATTTAATGTGTTTAATAGACTTTATTCACTATATACCCCTACTGATTAAGTTGGCTCTTACAATTTTTATACAATCCTTTTGGCCAAGACAAAATGAGACTTTAGTGCAGTTTTCAAAATTTAGTAAGCATTTGTTCTCACCAGATTATATTAATCTTTATCTTTTCAAACAGTCAGCTTTCATATTTATAGTATGCATGAAAGTACACCATAATACTTACCAATTTTCACTTCACAGCAAAGGTAGATTATGAATAAACTATGAAGTTTGCAAAAAGGCAGTATATTGAAAAGGAGCACCACATAATTTGTTATAATAGCTCCCCCTAGTGAGCATTCTCACTATTGTTTCCTGAACACCTTTTAGGGTTATTAATTCCAATACTTGGTTTTGTTACCTAGAAATTTTCTATCATGGCTGTAAACAAAAGTTATGTCACCAAATGGTCATTTCAGCCCCAGATATACTCACAAAAATTAACCCTATCAGCAGAATGGTTTTCAACTAGAAAAGAATGGTGTTGTTTTTCATTTAACGTAAAATGGGAAAAATGAAAAAGAACATAGAATTCGGCAAATACAATTGATAATAATAACTGTGATTCATTAGCAGTTAATATGTGCCATATATTTTGCTAAGCACTTATATGGGTTGTTTAATGTGATCCTTGTATTACTTTAGGATATTAATACCATTACTAATTTCATGTTACAGATAAAGAAACTAAGTCTGGCCTAAGGACATACAGCTAGCAAGTGACAGAGCTGAAATTTGAATCCAGGTTGTCTGACTCCAGAGTTCACACTCCAAGCCACTATTCTATTCTGTTGATGAAGCCACAAAATTACTTAGGTCCCAAATCTGTTTTTTTTATAATAGCAAATCTGTTTGCCAGATTATTGCATTATTTATCCACTCTGCTTATATCACAGAAAGGCCCAAAGTCTTCCTGCCCTGGTGTTGCAATTCCTCTTTTCTGCATACTCACCTCTGTCTGTAGCTGCCACCCAGTTCAGAAGTAGTGGTAACCAATTCCAGAGTTGAGGCAAGAGGGATACAAGATGTGCCTAAAACAGCTTAAGTCAGAAAGTGAGAAAGTACTCAAAAAAAAAAAAAAAAAAAAAAAAAGGAGCGAGTCACAAAGACACAGGTGCCCAGATTGAAGAGACTTCTCCTGGCCAAACCTATGACAATTTGAGCACTAGCATGATTAATTATAAATCATTGAAAAATTAAGAACTCATAAGTTCATACTAACATTAGATAGATAGGTGAGAGAGAGAGAGACATAAGAAGAAGGGAGGGCTCTTGCTGACAGGGAGGGCTCTTCCTGAGGGCAGACTGGTAAATGTGGAGGGAATGCAGGGATTTAAAAATAATCATTTTGCAATCATAGTGAGATTGGATAAGGCAAGAAACATTAATAGATTCCAAATCTAGAGAGAAATTCTGATGAGGAATCAGATATTTGCATGATCTTAAGATATCTTCCCACCTATCACTTCTTAGTTGGAAGGGGGAAAAATAAAATAGTAATTATACAGTGGAGAAATAAGACAACCCTTTGATCTGGTGGCCTCATGTAACATCACTAACAAGAAACAGATGGGCATCACGTGCCTGCAGATGTGAAGCCTTGAGATGAGCATGTCACACATGTACTGTTCTTATCAAGAATGTGTAATCTGACTGCAACCACAAGAAAACAGCAGAAAAACCCAAGTGATGAATATTCTGCTTAGTTAAAGGGGGAAGTATAATCTTGAAAACTGTCAAAATCATAAGACAAAGAAAAGCTATGGAAATAATCCAGATTAAAGGAGCTAAACAAACGTGACAACTAAATGCATTATTTGTTTCCAGGCTTAATTACACACTGGAGGGGTAAAAATGCTAGAAAGAGCTGTTAGGTCAACTGACAAAACTGAAATATGAACAGTAGATTATACAAAACTACTACATCATTGTAAATTCACTGAACTTGATCACTGTGCTGGGGTTAAGTAAGATAATATCTCTATTCCTATAAAATATACACTGAAGGCCAGGAGTGGTGACTCACCCCTGTAATCCCAGCACTTCATGAGGCCAAGGTGGGAGGATCACTTGAGGCCAGGAGTTTAAGATCAGCTTAGGCAAAGCTGAGGCTGGAGGATCACATAAGCCCAGGAGTTTGAGGCTGCAGTGAGCTATGGTCATACCACTGCACTCCAGGCTGGGCAACAGAGCAAGACCTTGTCTGAAAAAATATAAAATAAAATAAAATAGAAAATATACACTGAAGTATCTAGGGGGAAATCATCAGGTAATTAACTATCAATGGTTCGAAAAAGATGTGTGTGTGTGTGTTTGTGTGTGTGTATGGTTTAAGGCTATGGAGTTTCAATTTTGCAAGATGCAAAGAGTTCTGTGGATAGACAATGGTGGCACAACAATGTGAATGTACTTCATACTACTGAACAGTACCCTTAAAAGTAGTTCAGATGGTAACCGTATTTTACCACAATTTAAGAGAGAGAGAGAGCGAGCATGCAAATGATAAAATTCATGGGGCATACTGCTAATAGATGAATTTGGGTAAAGAACATTTGAATGTTTTCTGTACTATTTTTATTTTTTCAATTTTTATGCAAGTTTAAAATTGTTTCCAAATAAAGTTTTCTATGTAAATAAAGTAGAAATTCCTCCCATGGCAGAGCAGCTCCACCCGCCTCCTGGTACAGCCTCCTAGGTGAGTGGCAGGAGAGGGGCCTGGAAGCAGCCACCTGCTCTCAACCCTCTCACTCCGCATGACCTGTTCATTCACCCTTTCTTTCAAATGCCTCTAGGGTTAGATGACCAAACTGATCCTCACCAGATTTATCCCCACAGACTACATTCTTTTAATGAATTGACTGGCTCCCTGGGGCAGGATAAACTCAGGAAATGAGGGTGAGGTAAAGGGCACTGGACCAGGAGACAGAGTCTGCATGTCTCATCCTGATTCTGCAGATTAGCTGTGTGGCTTGGGCAACTCATTACCTCTGGAGGTGAACACTCTGATCTAGAATTTTTCTTTTTGTTGTTGTTGTTTTATTGTTGTTGTTGTGATCATGCCACTGCACTCTAGTCTGGGTGCAGAGTGAGTCTGGGTGTAGGATGCAGAGAGACCCTGTCTCACTCTGCCACCCAGACTAGAGTGCAGTGGCATGATCACAGCTCACTGCAGCCTTGACCTTCTGGACTCAACTGATACTCCCACCTCAGCCTCCCAAGTAGCAGGGACTACAGCTGCATGCAACAAAACTCAGCTAATTTATTTTTTATAGAGACAGGGTCTCCCTGTGTTGCCCAGCCTGGTCTCGAACTCTTGGGCTCAAGTGATCCTCCCGCTTTGGCCTCCTGAAGTGCTGGGATTACAGACGAGAGCCACTGCACTGGGCCTCAGAAATTTTTAAAGGTCCCTTGCAGCATTATAATTTTATATCTTACATTCACCACTCCTGAGAACAGAGTCACCAATTAAGCACTAGGTAATATGACTCTAATGATATGGCTAAAAATATTGAAACATTCCACATGTTAATTTTTCCTCCTGCTACTTAGCTTTTGGCAATATGTTGTTACGTTGCGTTCTAGGAATACTAGAGGTAAGGGTTTGTGTGTGTAGAGAAAGACAGAAAGAAGAGGAAGGAGGAAGAGAAAGAAGGGAAAACAGAATGGTATTCTATCGGAATGAACAACACTTACAACTGATAACATTTTAAAATCTATAGCATCGACTCACAACTTAAAGTAAAGCCTTTCATTTTCTAAATTGCTTTGCAGTTTTAAAGTAATTTCTTACCTGTTTTATCATTTTATCTTCCAAAGAACTCTGAGACAGTCAGGACAGACAACATTTCTATTTTAAAGATAAGAAAACTGATTTGGAGAAGGCAAATGACCGCCAGCTAATTTGTGGTGGTTCACCAATTAGAATCCCAGCTTTTTGACCCTGTACTGATGCTCTTCCCAATTTAAAAACCTATAAAATGTCTTTTCAACATCATACTGAATGGGCAAGAGCTGGAAGCATTCCTCTTGAAAACCAGCACAAAACAAAGATGTCCTCTCTCACCACCTCTATTCAACATAGCATTGGAAGTCCTAGCTGGAGCATCAGGCAAGAGAATGAAATAAAAGGCACCCAAATAGAAAGAGAGGAAGTCAAACTATCCCTGTTTGCAGATGACATGATTCTATATCTAGAAAACCCCATAGTCTTGGCCAAATAGCTCCTTAAGCTGATAAACAACTTCAGCAAAGTTTCAGGATACAAAATCAAAATACAAAAATCACTAGCATTCCTATATACCAACAACAGCCAAGCTGAGAGCCAAATCAGAAAGGCAATCCCATTCACAATTGCCACAAAAAGAATAAAATACCTAGGAATACAGCTAACCAGGCAAGTGAAAGATTGCTACAACGAGAATCTCAAAACACTGCTCAAAGAAATCAGAGAAGACACAAACAAATGGAAAAAATCCCATGCTCATGGATAGGAAGAATCAATATTATTAAAATGGCCAAACTGCTCAAAGTAATTTATAGATTCAATGCTATTCCTATTCAACTACAAATGACATTTTTCACAGAACTAGAAAAAACTATTTTAAAGTTCATATGGATTCAAAAAAGAACCTGAGTAGCCAGCGCAATCCTAAGCAAAGAGAGCAAAGCTGGAGGCATCATGTTACCTGATTTCAAACTATATCACAGGGCTACAGTAACCAAAACAGCATGGTACTGGTACAGAAATAGACACATAGTCCCATGAAACAAAATAGTGTCCAGAAATAAGGTCCACCTATGACCATCTGATTTTCAAAAAAGCTGACAAAAACAAGCAATGAGGAAAAGACTCCCTTTTAAATAAATGGTGCTGGGATAACTGGCTAGCCTTACGCAGAGTATTGAAGTTGGGCCCCTTCTTTATGCCATATGTAAAAATCAACTCAAGATGGATTAAAGACTTAAATGTAAAACCTAAAACTATAAAAACCCTGGAAGATCCTGGAAGGGAATACCACTCTGGACACAGGAACGGGCAAAGATTTCACGACAAAGATGCCAAAAGCAACGACAACAAAAGCAAAAATTGGCAAATGAGATCTAATTAAACTAAAGAGCTTCTGCACAGCAAAAGAAACTGTCAACAGAGTAAACAGACAACCTATAGAATGGAAGAAAATTTTTGCAAAATATGCATCTGACAAAGGTCTGATACCCAACATCTACAGGGAACTTAAACAAATTTACAAAAAGAGAAACAAGAAATCCCATTTAAAAGGGGGCAAGGGACGTGAACAGACACTTTTCGAAAGAAGACATACATTCAGCCCACAAACATATGAAAAACAGACCAGTATCACTGATCATTAGAGAAATGCAAATCAAAACCACACTGAGATACCATATCATTAGTCAGAATGGCTATTAATTAAAAGTCAAGGCCAGGCGCAGTGGCTCATGCCTGTAATCCCATCACTTTGGGAGGCCAAGGCAGGTGGATCACCAGGTTAGGAGTTCAAGACTAGACTGGCCAAGATGGTGAAACCCTGTCTCTACTAAAAAAAAAAAAAAAATAGCCAAAGGTGGTGGTGGTGCCTGTAATCCCAGCTACTTGGGAGACTGAGGCAGGAGAATCGCTTGAACCTGGGAGGCGGGGGTTGCAGTGAGCCGAGATCGTGCCACTGCACTCCTGGCTGGGCGACAGAGTAAGACTCCGTCTCAAAAAAAAAAAAAAAAAAAGTCAAAAAGTAACAGGTGCTGGTGAGGTTGCTTGTGGATAAAAGGAAACACTTATTCACTGTTGGTGGGAGTGTAAATTAGTTCAATCATTGTGAAAAGCAGTATGGTGATTCCTCAAAGAGCTAAAAGCAGAACTACCATTCAACCCAGCAATCCCATTACTGGGCATATATCCAGAGGACTATAAATCATTCTACCATAAAGATACATGCACATGTATGTTCATTGCAGCACTATTCACAATAACAAAGACATGAAATCAACCTAAATGCCCATCAATGGCAGACTGGATAAAGAAAATGTGGTCCATATACACTGTGGAATACTATGCAGCCATTAAAAAAAGATAAGATCATGTCTTTTGCAGGAAGATGAATGGAGCTAGAGTCCATTATCCTTAGCAAACTAATGCAGGAACAGAAAACCAAATACCGCATGTTCTCACTTATTAGTGGGAGCTAAATGATGAGCACTCATGAACATAAAGAAGGGAACAACAAACACTGGGATCTACCTGAGAGTGGAAGGTGGAGGGTGGGAGGAGAGAGAGGAGAAGACAAAATAACTGTTGGGTACTAGGCTTAATACCCGGGTGATAAAATAATCTGTACAACAAACCCACACGACATGAGTTTACCTAAAGCTTCACATGTACCCCAAAACCTAAAATAAAAGTTAAAAAATAAAATGTCTTCTACAAAACAACAGGCTGCATGCTTCAAAAAGTCACAGTCATGAAAAGCAAAGAAAAGCTGAGAAACCCTTGTAAAGAAAACTAAAGAAGCACAAAAAGTAAATTGAGTATGTAATTGTAGCTTGGATTTTGGATTACAAAGAAACACATTGCTTTTGCAAAAGACATTTCTAGAACAATTGCCAAAATTTCAATTTGGACTGTATTAGATAGTATTGTATCCATATTCGATTTTCTGAATTTGATAATTGCAACATGGTTATATAAGAAATTGTCCTTGTTCTCAGGAGACAGACACTGAAGTAGTTAGGGATAAAATGTTATAATATCTGTAACCTTCTTTCAGTTGGTTGAGGGAAAAAAAGTGACAAGAAGAATAAAAAACAAGCTCAGCGCAGTGGCTCACACTTGTAATCGCAGCCCTTTGGAAGGATGAGATGAGAAGATCCCTTGAGCCCAGGAGTTTGAGGCCAGCCTGCACAACATAGTGAGACCAACTACCTACAAAGAAGATTAAAATTTTAAAAATTAGAAAAATATTAGCCAGGTGTGATTACAAACACCTGTAGTCCTAGTTACTCAGGAATCTGAGGTGGGAGGATTGCTTAAGCCCAGAAGGTCAAGGGTGCAGTGAGCTATGAGTGTTCAAATGCACTCCAGCCTGGGCAACACAGTGAGACCCAGTTTCTAAAAACAAACAAACAAAAGGGTGAAAAACATTATGTGTATTAATATACTAGAACTATATATGATATAAAGAGAGAAAGAGATGTGGCAAATGTGGAAAAATCTCGGTGAAAGGTATTTACATGTTAATTGTTATATTCTTGTAATTTTTCTGAGGTCTGGAAGTTTTTCAAGATTAGAAGTTTAGGCTCTGTGTGATGGCTCATGCCTGTAATCCCAGCACTCTGGGAGTCCGAGGTGGGCAGATTGCTTGAGCTCAGGAGTTCGAGACCAGCCTGGGCAAAATGGTGAAATCCCATCTCTACCAAAAATACAAAAAAATTATTCAGGCATGGTGGCGTGTGCCTGTGGTTCTAGCTACTCAGGAAGCTTAGGTGGGAGACTCTCTTGAGCCTGGGAGGTGGAGGTTGCAGTGAGCCAAGATTGCACCACTGCACTCCAGATAGGGTGACAGGGTGAGACCTCTTCTTGAAAAAAAGTTTAATAAAATAAATAGTTAAGAAAGCATCTGAAATGAAAACTCCCTAAGGAGTGTCATATTGTGCTTTCTAATATTTTTATTACTATAATAATAGTATGTCATGTTGCTGTTTGCATGATTTTTATGACTACTATATACTATCATCTCATATGTCATTACTGAGAAATAGGATAATTCACAGAAGTGAATTTTCTAAAACACAAACAAAAAAGATATGTAGACCCTTCAACACTGAAATAAATTTTCAGACCAACTTTATGAATATATTAAACATATTTCTGATATTTCAAACAAAATGCAAGGAACATAATCTATTTTTGAAGATCCTAGGTATTTTAAGGGTCAAATTCTCTAAACAACTTATGTGATCATAATTGTTTACCTTGAGGTTACTGAGATGTTTGTGGCTTTTTATCTAATCTACAGGACCCTCCTACCATTGAGTCCTCCTGTAAGAGATACACAGCCATTCAGATTGTTGCCACTATCAATTCAAGGTCACTGCTGGGCTACTGACTATCCTAAGACTGCATTTACTCCCTAATTCTTCTTTCACTTTTACACTCTCCTATCGAACCACCGAAATCTGGCTTCTGCCTCAACCAATCCACCAAAATAGCTTTTGCCACAGTCACCTATAACCTCTCTGTTGATAAATCCAATGTATACTTTTCAGTAATATATATTACTTGATTTCTCAGAAACATTTAATAGATAACCATCCTATTGTTTCTGAAACCATCTCTTCCTCATCTTTCAAAGGTCTAAATTTTACTGATATTTCTATTTCAACTATTATTCTTTCTTCATCTCCTTGGAGAAAATGGTCTTTTTCCCCTATGTTTTGGTTCTGTACTTAAAAAAAAAAAAACTATAATATTAAAAAAAACTGTTTAGCTATTATTACAAATTCTCATGGACAGAGATGTGGAGAAGAGAAATAAAAAACTTGAGTTAGGCACAGGCTAGAAGAAACTATTACAAACATTTTGTCTAAAAAATAGTGTATTTTCACACTCACATTTCAGACTGGAAGGAAATATAAGGACATGTACAGGACCAACTGTGACCAACTTTTTCATCTCTTGTTCCTAGTACCTACTAGTGCGCTCCAAAGACTGGTGCCTTGATTTGAAGCAAAGGTTGGAGGAAGCCTATTTTGGCAGGATTATATCCATACTACCTAGCATCTGGGGGAATTGAGATATATCTATATCTATATATATCTATATATATGATGATGATATACTGATATGGGGTATATATACATACCATATCCCTTTTCAGTTCTAATTGGGCAAAAGGAACTGGCAGGAAGTAGGACAGGAAATGCTTTAGTGGGAAGTTTTCAGACACTACTATCCCCATGTTTCTTCCCGGCCCTGGCTACTTTCATCCAATACTCACGGATGGCGGTGGGAAGAATAGCTGGCTGGGAATACAAGGTCTCCTGCCCAAGGCTTAGCAGTCGTGATGGGAGTAGAGATCACAGCAATCCAAAAAGGAAAACTGTCATTATTTAACAAGGATTTATTCAACGATCATTGCTTTGTGAGAAGCTGGTGATTTCCCGACAGCATCTATTCTCCAGGAGTTCAGGGTTCAGTTGAGAGGTAAAGACCTAAAGAGATGCAGTAATGTAATATATCATGTTAGGTATGTCCATGGGGCAGCGATGGGACAAGGCCCTGTTCTTGCAGTTGTTCAGTTAGGCTACATGGAGGTAAAGCCTCTGTATTGAGATGAAAATTGAAGGATAAATGACAAATTCACTGTCAGGCCTCTGAGCCCAAGCTAAGCCATCATATCCCCAGTGACCCACACGTATATATCCAGATGGCCTGAAGCAACTGAAGATCCACAAAAGAAGTGAAAATAGCCTTAACTGATGACATTCCACCATTGTGATTTATTTCTGCCCCACCCTAACTGATCAATGTACTTTGTAATCCCCCCCACCCTTAAGAAGGTTCTTTGTAATTCTCCCCACCCTTGAGAATGTACTTTGTGAGATCCACCCCCTGCCTGCAAAACATTGATCCTAACTCCACCGCCTATCCCCAAACCTATAAGAACTAATGATAATCCACCACCCTTTGCTGACTCCTTTTTCGGACACAGCCTGCCTGCACCCAGGTGAAATAAACAGCCATGTTGCTCACACAAAGCCTGTTTGGTGGACTCTCTTCACACGGATGCATGAAACATTCACCAAGTAGGAACTGAGGAGAATGATTAACTCCACCGTCTGCACCTGAGACATAAGAAGCAAAAAATAAAATAAATACACATGTAACTGTGTTTTATATATACCATCAGGTGTTACTTACCAACAGGGATACATTGTGAGAAATGCATCATTAGTTGATTTTGTCCTTATGCAAACATCACACACTGCACTTACATAAACCTAGATGGTAAGCCTGCCTACCACACACCCAGGCTCCATGGCATAGACTATCACTTCTGGCTACAAACCTGTATAGCATGTGACTGTACTAAATACTTAAAGGAACTGCAATACAATGGTAAGTATTTACGCATTTAAACATAGAAAAGGTACCATAAAAGTATAGTATAAAAGATAAAAAATAGTACATCTATACAGGACACTTATCATGAATGGAACTTGTGGGACTTCAAGTTGCTCTGGGTGAGCCAGTGGGTAAGTGGTGAGTGTGAAGACCTAGGACATTATTGTACACTACTATAGATTTTATAAGCACTGTATGCTTAGGCTACAAAAATTTATTTTAAAAATCTTTCTGCTTCAATAAAAAATTGACCTTAGCTTATGTAACTTTTTTACTTTATAAACTTTTTTTTAATACTTCAAGTTCTAGCGTACATGTGCACAACGTGCAGGTTTGTTATTTACGAATACACGTGTCAAGTTGGTGTGCTGCACCCATTAACTCGTCATTTACATTAGGTATATCTCCTAATGCTATCCCTCCCCCCTCCCCCCAGCCCACAACAGGCCCCAGTGTGTGGTGTTCCCCATCCCGTGTCCAAGTGTTCTCATTGTTCAATTCCCACCTATGAGTGAGAATGTGCGGCCTTTGGTTTTCTGTCCTTGCGAAAGTTTGCTCAAAATGATGGTATCCAGGTTCATCCATGTCCCTACAAAGGACATGAACTCATCCTTTTTTATGGCTGCATAGTATTCCATGGTGTATATGTGCCACATTTTCTTAATCCAGTCTATCATTGATGGACATTTGGGTTGGTTCCAAGTCTTTGCTATTGTGAATAGTGCTGCAATAAACATACGTGTGCATGTGTCTTTACAGCAGCATAATTTATAATCCTTTGGGTATATACCCAGTAATGGAATGGGTGGGTCAAATGGTATTTCTAGTTCTAGATCCCTGAGGAATTGCCACACTGTCTTCCACAATGGTTGAACTAGTTTACAGTCCCACCAACAGTGTAAAAGTGTTCCTATTTCTCCACATCCTCTCCAGCACCTGTTGTTTCCTGACTTTTTAATGATCGCCATTCTAACTGGTGTGAGATGGTATCTCATTGTGGTTTTGATTTGCATTTTTCTGATGGCCAGTGATGATGAGCATTTTTTCATGTGTCTTTCGGCTGCATAAATGTCTTCTTTTGAGAAGTGTCTGTTCATATCCTTTGCCCACTTTTTGATGGGGTTGATTTTTTCTTGTAAATTTGTTTAAGTTCTTTGTAGATTCTGGATATTAGCCCTTTGTCAGATGAGTAGATTGCAAAAATTTTCTCCCATTCTGTAGGTTGCCTGTTCACCCTGATGGTAGAGCTTACTGTGCAGAAGCTCTTTAGTTTAATTAGATCCCATTTGTCAATTTTGGCTTTTGTTGCCGTTGCTTTTGGTGTTTTAGACATGAAGTCCTTGCCCATGCCTATGTCCTGAATGGTAATTCCTAGGTTTTCTTCTAGGGTTTTTATGGTTTTAGGTCTGACATTTAAGTCTTTAATCCATCTTGAATTAACTTTTGTATAAGGTGTAAAGAAGGGATCTAGTTTCAGCTTTCTACATATGGCTAGCCAGTTTTCCCAGCACCATTTATTAAATAGGGAATCTTTTCCCTATTTCTCATTTTTGTCAGGTTTGTCAAAGATCAGATGGTTGTAGATGTGTGGTATTATTTCTGAGGGCTCTGTTCTGTTCCATTGGTCTAAACTATTCCAATCAATAGAAAAAGAAGGAATCCTCCCTAACTCATTTTATGAGGCCATCATCATCCTGATACCAAAGCCTGGCACAGACACAACAAAAAAGAATTTTAGACCAATATCCCTGATGACCATCAACGCAAAAATCCTCAATAAGATACTGGTAAACCAAATCCAGCAGCACATCAAAAAGCTTATCCACCACGATGAAGTGGGCTTCATCCCTGGGATGCAAGGCTGGTTCAACATATGCAAATCAATAAATGTAATCCAGCATATAAACAGAACCAAAGACAAAAACTACATGATTATCTCAATGGATGCAGAAAAGGCCTTCGACAAAATTCAACAGCCCTTCATGCTAAAAACTCTCAATAAATTAGGTATCGATGGGACGTATGTCAAAATAATAAGAGCTATTTACGACAAACCCACAGCCAATATCATACTGAATGGGCAAAACTGGAAGCATTCCCTTTGAAAACTGGCACAAGACAGGGATGCCCTCTCTCACCACTCCTATTCAACATAGTGTTGGAAGTTCTGGCCAGGGCAATCAGGCAGGAGAAAGAAATAAAGGGTATTCAGTTAGGAAAAGAGGAAGTCAAATTGTCCCTCTTTGCAGATGACATGATTGTATATTTAGAAAACCCCATCGTCTCAGCCCAAAATCTCCTTAAGCTGATAGGCAACTTCAGCAAAGTCTCAGGATACAAAATCAATGTGCAAAAATCACAAGCATTCTTATACACCAACAACAGACAAACAGAGAGCCAAATCATGAGTGAACTCCCATTCACAATTGCTTCAAAGAGAATAAAATACCTAGGAATCCAACTTACAAGGGATGTGAAGGACCTCTTCAAGGAGAATTATAAACCACTGCTCAACAAAATAAAAGAGGATACAAACAAATGGAAGAATATTCCATGCTCATGAATAGGAAGAATCAATATCGTGAAAATGGCCATACTGCCCAAGGTAATTAATAGATTCAATGCCATCCCCATCAAGCTACCAATGACTTTCTTCACAGAATTGGAAAAAAACTACTTTAAAGTTCATACGGAATGAAAAAAGAGCCTGCATTGCCAAGTCAGTCCTAAGCCAAAAGAACAAAGCTGGAGGTATCATGCTACCTGACTTCAAACTATACTACAAGGCTACAGTAACCAAAACAGCATTGTACTAGTACCAAAACAGAGATACAAACTTTTTATTTTTTTAACTTTTTGACTCTTCTGTAATAGCACTTAGCTTATAACACAAACACATTGTACAGCTGTACAAAAATATTTTCTTTCTTCATATCACTACTCTATAAGCTTTTTGTTATTCAAAGATTTTTTTAACTTTTTCCAACATTTTTGTTAAAAACTGACACACAAACACAGACATTACCTAGGCCTACACAGCATCAGGATCATCAATATCACTGTCTTCCATTTCCATATCTTGTCCCACTGGAAGGATTTCAGGGATAATAACATGCATGGAGCTGTCATCTTCTAGGATAACAATGCCTTTGTTTGGAATACTTCCTGAAAGACCTGCCTGAATATGTTTTACAGTTAACATTTTTTTATAAGTATAAAAAGCACACTCTGAAATAACAATAAGAAGTATAGTAAATACATAAGCCAGTAACACTCATTTATTATCCTTATCAAGTATTACATACTGTACATAATTGTATATGCTAGTCTTTCATATGACTGGGAGCTCAGTCGGTTTATTTGCATCAGCATCATTACAAACATGAGTAATGCATTGCACTATGACATTAGGAAGGCTACTATATCACTAGATGACAGGAATTTTCCAGCTCCGGTATAATCTTATGGGACTACCATCATTCATGCAGTTGGTCTTTGACCAAAATGGTGTTTTTTTTTTTCAGATGGAGTCTCGCTCTGTTGCCCAGGCTGGAGTACAGTAGCGTAATCTCAGCTCACTGCAAGCTCCACCTCCTGGGTTCACGCCATTCTTCTGCCTCAGCCTCCGGAGTAGCTGGGACTACAGGCACCTGCCACCACGCCCGGCAACTTTTTTTTTTGTATTTTTAGTACAGACGGGGTTTCACCATGTTAGCCAGGATGGTCCCGATCTCCTGACCTCGTGATCCGCCTGCCTCGGCTTCCCAAAGTGCTGGGATCAAAGGCACGTGAGCCACCGCGCCTGGCCCAAAATGTTGTTCTGTGGTGCATGATTTTATGTATTAACGTATATATAGTATATATATGTGTGTGCATATATACATGTGCATGTATGTGTGTGTATGTGTATGTGTGTGTGTGAGAGAGAGAGAGCTTGCCACATGGGAAGTTGGTAGCAGACCTGAAGAGTATGCCCAGCAAGGAAAAAGCTGATTCTGTGTTAGCCATGTGAAGCAACAGGGCATTATTCTTCTCAAGGGCTCCTTTGGAGTGTGTGGGAGTGTGCCAAGAAGTCAAGAAGTCATGGATAAAGTGGCACATCTTCAAGGACATTAATGCATTTTGATATTCAAAAATAGATATGTAATAATAGAGGCTGGGCATAGTGACTCACATCTGTAATCCTAGCACTTTGGGAGGCTGAGGCAGGCAGATCACCTGAGGTCAGAAATTTGAGACCAGCCTGGCCATCATGACAAAACCTTGTCTCCACTAAAAAATACAAAAGAGGTGGCACATGCCTGTAGTCCCAGCTACTGGGGAGGCTGAAGCATGAGAATCACTTGAACCTGGGAAGCAGAGGTTGCAGTGAGCCGAAATTGCACCACTGCACTCCAGCCTGGGCAACAGAGCAAGACTCTGCCTTAAAGAGATAAATAAATAGGCCAGGTGCGGTGGCTCAAACCTGTAATCCCAGCACTGTGGGAGGCCGAGGCAGGTGGATCACGTGAGGTCAGGAGTTCGAGACCAGCCTGGCCAACACAGTGAAACACCGTCTCTACTAAAAATAAAAAAATTAGCCAGGCATGGTGGCAGACAATCCCAGCTACTCGGGAGGCTGAGGTATGAGAATCGCTAGAACTCGGGAGGTGGAGGTTGCAGTGAGCCAAGATCGTGCCACTGCACTCCAGCCTGGGAGAAAGAGAGAGACTCTGTCATAAATACATACATACATACATACATACATACATACATACATACATACATGTAATAGAATGGCAAATGCATGTGAAGTTTTTAAGAAAAACCACACAGCTTAAACAATTCTCAGTATTTTAAGTATTTCACTTTGTCTCCTACCATCCCTGGGAGTTTGCATCTCTTTTCCTTTGCCCTTGCAGGCAAGTCCCTAATCATTTGCAAAGAGAAAGGAAGAACTGCAATTAGGTGAGCATTATTGGTACTTTGGTAATTTGCATTTGCCTTTTTTCTTTTTCACATTTTAGATCAACACAACATTTTATTTATTTTTTTTTTTCAGTGGAAAATAACTTATATTGAGACCCCACGAGCTGCACAATGTGTTCCTGGCATTAAGCTCATTCTTCTTTTGCAGTTCGATCTTTCTTGAGTGGTTCCATGAACGCTTTCTTCTCTTCTATGGTCTGGAAGCAGCCATGGCCAAACTTGGAGGTGGTGTCTATGAACTTAAGGTCAATCTTCTCCAGAACCCGCCATTTGGTCTGCACCAGCAAAGACTTCTAGAGGGTGAGCACTTGCTTCTTGGTTCCCACCACTCAGCCTTTCAGCTGTGACCTCTTTATTCATGGCATATAGTTTATCATATACCAAGACCTTTTATATTATATAGATTCTGTCTCTGGCCTATTTATTCCATTGAAATTTGGGTTAT
Organism: Homo sapiens; assembly: GCF_000001405.40. NCBI lineage: Eukaryota > Metazoa > Chordata > Mammalia > Primates > Hominidae > Homo > Homo sapiens. Next base: position 84,544,624 of record NC_000004.12, read on the forward strand.
AATTGCAGGAGACTTAAGACTAATTGAGTAAGCACTGCTAGATGGACGAACAGAAACAACTCTGGTTTGCAGCTCCCAGCAAGATCAATGCAGAAGGCAGGTGATTTCTGCATTTCCAACCGAGGTACCTGGCTCATCTCTTTGGGACTGGTTAGAGAGTGGGTGCAGCCTACGGAGGGCGAGCTGAAGCAGGGTGGGGTGTCGCCTCACCCAGGAAGCACAAGGAGTGAGGGAACTCCCTCCCCTAGCCAAGGGAAGCTGTGAGGGACTGTTCCATGAGGAATGGTGCATTCCGGCCCAGACACTAGGCTTTTCCCACGGTCTTCACAACCCACAGACCAGGAGATTCCCTCAGGTGCCTATGCCACCAGGGCCCTGGGTTTCAAGCACAAAACTGGGTGGCCATTTGGGCAGACACCAAGCTAGCTGCAGGAGGTTTTTTTCATACCCCAAAGGCACCTGGAGCACCAGCGAGAGAGAACCGTTCACTCCCCTGGAAACGGTGCTGAAGCCAGGGAGCCAAGTGGTCTAATTCAGCAGATCCCACCCCCATAGAGCCCAGCAAGCTAAGATCCACTGGCTTGAAATTCTCCCTGCCAGCACAGCAGTCTGAAGTAGACCTGGGACGCTAGAGTTTGGTGAAGGGAGGGGCGGCTGCCATCACTGAGGCTTGAGTAGGCAGCTTTCCCCTCACAGTGTAAACAAAGCCTCCAAGAGGTTCAAAATGGGAGGAGCCTACCACAGCTCAGGAAAGCCACTGTGGCCAGACTGCCTTTCCAGATTCCTCCTCACTGGGCAGGGCATCTCTGAAAGAAAGGCAGCAGACACAGTCAGAGGCTCCTAGATAAAACTGCCATCTCCCTGGGACAGAGCATCTGGGGGAAGGGGTGGCTGTGGGCACAGCCTCAGTAGACTTAAACGTTGCGGCCTGGCCAGCTCTGAAGAGAGCAGGGGATCTTCCAGCACAGCGCTCGAGCTCTGCTAAGGGACAGACTGCCTCCTCAAGTGGATCCCTGACTTCCATGCCTCCTGACTGGGAGACACCTCCTAGCAGGAGTCAACAGGTATCTCATACAGGAGAGCTCGCGCTGGCATCTGGCAGGTGCCCCTCTGGGACGAAGCTTCCAGAGGAAGGAACAGGCAGCAATATTTGCTGTTCTGCAGCCTCCACTGTTGATACCCAGGCATACAGGGTCTGGACTAGACCTCCAGCAAACTCCAGCAGACATGCAGCAGAGGGGCCTGTTAGAAGAAAAACTAACAAACAGAAAGGAATAGTATCAACATCAACAAAAAAGAAGTCCACACAGAAACCTCATCCGAAGGTGACCAACATCAAAGACCAAAGGAAGTTAAATCCATGAACATGAGGAAAAACCAGCACCAAAAGGCTGAAAATTCCAAAAACCAGAACGCCTCTTCTCCTTCAAAGGATCACAACTCCTCACCAGCGAGGGTACAAAACTGGATGGAGAATGAGTTTGATGAATTTACGGAAGTAGGCTTCAGAAGGTGGGTAATAACAAACTTCTCCAAGCTAAAGGAGCATGTTCTAACCCAATGCAAGGAAGCTAAGAACCTTGAAAAAAGGTAGAGGAATTGCTAACTAGAATAACCAGTTTAGAGAAGAACATAAATGACCTGATGGAGCTGAAACACGCAGCATGAGAACTTCGTGAAGCATACACAAGTATCAATAGCCAAATCCATCAAGTGGAAGAAAGGATATCAAATATGGAAGATCAACTTAATGAAATAAAGTGTGAAGACAAGATTAGAGAAAAAAGAATGAAAAGGAACAAAGACTCCAAGAAATATGGGACTATGCGAAAAGACCAAATGTACAATTGATTGGTGTACCTGAAAGTGACAGGGAGAATGGAACCAAGTTGGAAAACACTCTGCAGGATATTATCCAGGAGACCTTCCCCAACCTAGCAAGACAGAACAACATTCAAATTCAGGAAATACAGAGAACACCACAAAGATACTCCTCGAGAAGAGCAACCCCAAGCCACATAATTGTCAGATTCACCAAGGTTGAAATAAAGGAAAAAATGTTAAGGGCAGCCAGAGAGAAAGGTCGGGTTACCCACAAAGGGAAGCCCATCAGACTAACAGCGGATCTCTCTGCAGAAACCCTACAAGCCAGAAGAGAGTGGGGGCCAATATTCAACATTCTTAAAGAAATAATTTTCAACCCATAATTTCACATCCAGCCAAACTAAGCTTCATAAGCGAAGGAGAAATAAAATTACTTACAAGAGGGATTATTTATAGATACCTCTCAAAGCTTGCACCAATATATTATTACATTATAAATCCGAAAAAAAGAGCAGAATTTCCCAAAAATGTTAGACCACAGGAGTTTTAGTACACAAACTCCAGAGCCATATGGCCTCCTTTGTTTAAATTCTGCCTCTAGTAACTGTGGCATCTTGGACAAGTCACTTAATCGTCCTGTGCCTTAGTTTCTGCATCTGAAAAGTTGCAATAGTGAAAGCACCTACTTTATTGGGTAGTTGTGAAGCTTCAATGGGTTAGCATGAGTGAAGTATTTGCAGCAGTACCTGCCTCATAGTAAACACCACAAAGTTTCGCTATTGTTAGAGCATTAGTTTTGTGTTGCTGTTATTCCTTATTCCAGCTGTCATTATTTTAGAGGACTACACATTAACATCTCAGTGATCTAGAACAAATGGAGCAATGTGAGAAACTGTGCTGTATCTTGATCAGTAGTTACCCAACCCAGTGAGTCTGAAAACAACAGATTGCTATCCCTCCCACGTGAGATTCTGATGCAATTGGTCTGTGACAGAGACCAGGAATTTAAGACCTGTATTTCAGAACTCTAGGAAACTTTTTCGCCTCAGCATGTGAGAACTTTAGAGGTTTAATGAAAGACAAGAGGCTAGAATCCCACAATGGCTAGTGGACTTAATCCATGGCACCACCAATTGAACAGTCTGTTAAACTACTCATTTATTGTAGTGGTTTAAGGCAGTTGCAAGGAAACATGAGTGAGGCCTTCCAAAAGGGTTAGTAGTATCTCATGGTCCAGAGCAGTGTGGGGAAGGGCAAAAAAATGGATAAGAGGTATGAGAAGAGACAATAAAATAACTTGCACCAAAGATAAATGCATTTCACTGTTTTCTAGATATTGTCAGTGTCCCTGCCACACATGTTATACCATTTTGCAATCCTAACAGCAACAAGCAATAGTGACTGTTTCTCCAAAGTCTCCCCCACAGAATGAACTATTGCACCTTTGGCTTTCTGCCTATCAGGGTGAAATATTGTATGTTAGTATAATTTTAATTTGCATGCCCTTAATTTGCATATTCTCTTTATATGTTTAGGTCTATTTGTATTTATTTTTTTGTAAACTATATGGCTTTGAATTCTCTTTGTCACAAGTGTAAGCTGTTCCATAACAGCTTATGCTATTATGGGCTATGTTCATAAACCACTCAAAGAGCTACAGAAAATAGAATGAAGTATAGTCCTTTCATGATCACTTGCCCTTCTTATTGCTAAAAGAACCAACAGAGCACCAAAGAGACCTTATAGCTGTTCCTCAACTGGAGTAGACCAGGCTATTCCCTAGTTCACCCTGGTAGCAACAGCCAGCTTTCTTCCTCAGACAAACCAAAATATCATAAGTCTCTTGTTTGGAGAAATGGGAGACTTGGTCCATATGTTTAAAGGGTCTACATCATTTGCCATTTTCTTAATCTTGGAAGGAAACATAGATTGACTTCAAAATGTTATATTTTTTCATGTAACAAAGAGAAATGTCATGATGAATCAAATGAATCAAAAGATCAATTTCACACAATTGTGGTATTTTGTAAACTGAATATGGATACTTAACATATTGTGAAAATTAAATTGCTTGTGGTACTTAAGCATTGAATTAATTAAAACTCCTCTAATTCAAAAATGTTATCTATCTGCTAAGCACAATATATTTATATAAGGTCTGAAAAAAATAGCCCTTATTTTTAATTATGTTTTGTTATTGTGTTAAAGTTACACTGGCCAACAAAATTAGAACTTAGTTATTACACTTGATGGAAAAGCTTATGTCATCCATAACTACAATTGAACCCAACATGGGAAAAGCCACTGGTTTCAGCTGATATGGAATTAATTTATACTCTGAAAAGCTTACTAACTGGAAGGTACTTGAAAGTTATTATATTGATTATAATATCTTGAATATCAAAAATAATGGATTTTTTTCCTGAGCACACACATATTTTCTTTCTCTTTTATTCCTAATGCAGGGGTAAGCAGAAAGGACACTATTATCTACCCACTCCGCGTGGGCTCTCATCCAATTAAAGGGACACAGACCCTAAAGAATGATCATACAAAACACTAAATATATCATTTCCCATTAGCACAGCACACATCTTATTCCTGGTAGTAGAAATTAGGCCATGCTAATGTGAGAGTCTAATAATGAGAGCATAAGAACTAATACACATCACTAAGATGAGTTTCAAGTTTCCAAGAATCAACCTAATTCTCTTTATAATATGCAAACTGGTAGAAGATGCTAGGAGGCTTTTGGCGAAAGAAAAAGAAAGAGTAGAGTGATGGTTAATTTTACCTGTCCACTTGGCTGAGCCACAGTACCCAGATACATGGTCAAACATTATTCTAAATGTTTCTATAAAGATTTCTTTTAGATGAGATTAACATTTACAACAGTAGACTGAGCAAAGCAGACTACCCTCCATAATGTGGGTGGGCCTCATCCAATCAGTTGAAGGCTTTAATAGACGAAGACTGAACTTGGCCGTGCACTCTGGCTCATGCCTGTGATCCCAGAACTTTGGGAGGCCAAGGCGGGCAGATCACTTGAGATCAGGAGTTCGAGACCAGCCTGGCCAACCTGGTGAAACCTCGTCTCTACTAAAAATACAAAAAAAATTAGCCAGGCATGGTGGTACACACCTGTAATCCCAGCTACCCAGGAGGCTGAGGCATGAGAATTGCTTGAACCCAGGAGGCAGAGGTTGCAGTGAGCTGAGATCACACCACTGCACTCCAGCCTGTGTGACAGAGTGAGACCCTGTCTCAAAACAAGAAAAACAAAACAAAACTAAAAAACAAGAAAGAACAAGACTGAACTCCCCCAGAGAAGGAATTCTGCCAGCAGACTGCTTTTGTACTCATACTGCGGCATCACCTCTTCCCTGAGTCTACAACCAGCCTGCCTACCCTGCAGATTTCAGACCTGCCTGTCTCCTCCACAATTGTGTCAGCTAAGCTAATTCCTTGAAATAAATCTCTTGAGTGGGGGATCCAAAATGGCCAATTAGAAGGCGCTGCGGTCAGCACTCATGGAAAGGAATGAAAAGGGGTGAGTAAATTCAGCACCTTCAACTGAAATATCCAGGTTCTTACACTGGGACTAACTAGGCAAACAACTCAAACCACAAACAATGAAAAAAAGCTTTTGGGGTTGGGGAGGACAACAGCCCACCCAGGAGTAGCATAAAGCCAAAGGAACTCCCGTCCCCACCAAGGGAAGCAGTGAGTGATTGTGCAACACGGTCTGGGAAACCATGCTTCTCCCATGGATCTTTGCAATCTGTGGATCAGGAGATCACCTCATGAGCCCACACCACCGGGCCTTGGGTCCAATACACAGAGCTGTGTGGAGTCTTAGTAGATCAGCCACTCAGGCACACACAGAGTTTTATATACTGCAGCCCCAGGATTCCCAGTGAGGTGAGAAATCCATTCATACATATCTCTAGGAAGGGGTCTGAATCCAGGGAGCCAAGCAGCCTCGTTCTGCACATCCCACAACCATGACACCCCACAAGTTAAGTCCCACTGGCTTAGAATTCCAGCCAGCTGATGGCAACAGACTGGAATCTGCCTGAGATGGGTCTGAGTTCCCAGGGAGGATGGGCAGGCACCATCTCTGCAGTTTGGTTGACTCAGCCATTCCAGCCTGCCAGCTCTGGAGAATACAAATCGTCCAGAGAAGGAAGGGCACCCCCTAGAACAGCACACCTGCTATACCAAAAAGCAACCAGACTGCTTTAAGCTGGTCACTGATCCTGTTCCTCCTGACTGGGTGAGACCTCCCAAGAGGGGTCTCCGGCCACCTCCTACAGGTACGTTTGGGCAGCAACAGGTCAGTACACCCCTGGGATGATGCTTCCAGAGGAAAGAGCAGACTGCCATCTTTGCTGTTTCACAGCCTTCATTGGTGGTACCTCCAGGTATGGGAAAAACTGAGGTAATAGGGTCTGGAGTGGACCTCCAGCAAACCACAGCAGCCTTATGATAGAGTAGCCTGACTGTTAAAAGAAAAACAAATAAACAGAAAACAACAACAACAACATCAACAAAAGAGACTCCACAAAAACCCCATTCAAAGGTCAGCAACCTCAAAGATCAAAGGTAGATAAGCCCACAAAGATGAGACAAAAATTAATGCTAAAGTGATGAAACTCAGAAAGCCAGAGTGCCTCTTCTCCTCCAAATGACCGCAACCCCTCTCCAGCAAGGGCACAGAACTGGGCTGAAGCTGAAATGGCTGAATTGACAGAAGTAAGCTTCAGAAGGTGGGTAATAACAAACTTCAGTGAGCTAAAGAAGTATTTTGTAACCCAATGCAAATAAGCTAAGAATCATGATAAAACAATACAGGAGCTGAAAGCCAGAATAGCCAATTTAGAGAGAAAAACAACTGATCTGATGGAGCTGAAAAACACTGTACAAGAACTTCACAATGCAATCATAAGTATCAATAGCAGAACAGACCAAGCAGAGGAAAGAATCTCAGAGCCTGAAGACTGTCTTTCTGAAATAAGACAGACAGACAAGAATAGAGAAAAAAGAATAAAAAAGAATGAACAAAACCTCTCAGAAATATGGAATTATGTAGAAAGACTAAACCTACAAGTGAGTGGGGTACCTGAAAGAGATGGGAAGAATGGAACCAAGTTAGAAAACATACGTCAAGATATCATCCAGGAGCACATCCCAACCTAGCAAGACAGGCCAACATTCAAATTCAGGAACTGCAGAGAACCCCAGTGTATTAGTCTGTTCTCATACTGCTAATAAAGACATACCTGAGACTGGGTAATTTATAATGAAAGAGGTTTAATTGACTCACAGTTCCACGTGGCTGGGGAGGACTCACAATCAAAGCAGAAGATGAATGAGGAGCAAAGTCACATCTTACATGGCAGCAGGCAAGAGAGCAAGTGTAGGGGAACTCCCCTTTACACAACCATCAGATCTCAGATATCATGAAACTTATTCATTATCATGAGAATAGCATGAGAAAGACCTGCCCCCATGATTCAGTTGCCTCCCACCGCGTCCCTCCCATGACACATGGGAATCATAAGAGCTGCAATACAAGATGATATTTGGGTGAGGACACAGCCAAATCATATCACCCAATAAAATACTCCACAAAAAGACCAACCCCAAGACATATAATTATCAGATTTGCCAAGGTCAAAATGAAAGAAAAAATGTTAAGGGCAGCCAAAGAGAAGGACCAGGTCACCTACAAAGGGAATCCATCAGACTAACAGCAGATCTCTCAGCAGAAACCCTACAAATCAAAAGAGAGTGGGGGCCAATATTCAACTTTCTTAAAGAAAAGAATTTTAAACCCAGAATTTCATATCTGGCCAAACTAAGCTTCATAAGCAAAGGAGAAATAAAATCTTTTTCAGACAAGCAAATGCTGAGGGAATTCATCACCATCAGGCCTGCCTTGCAAGAGCTCCTGAAGAAAGCACTAAATATCCAAAGGAAAAACTGGTACCAGCCACTACAAAAACACACTGAAGCACACAGATCAGTGACACCATGAAGCAACTGTATCAACAAGTCTGCAAAATAACCAGCCAGCATCATGATGACAGGATCAAATTCACACATAACCATACTAACTTTAAATGTAAATGAGCTAAATGCCCCAATTAAAACACAGAATGGCAAGCTAGATAAAGAGCTAAGACTCATGGGTATGCTCTCTTCAAGAGACACATCTCAAGTACAAAGACACACATAGGCTCAAAATAAACAGAGGGAAGAAAATTTACTAAGCAAATGGAAAACAGAAAAAAGCAAGGGTCACAATCCTAATTTCTGACAAAATAAACTTTAAACCAACAAAGATAAAAAAAAAAAAAGAAAAAGAAAGGCATTACATAATGGTAAAGGGATCAATTCAACAAGAAAAGCTAACCATCTTAAATATATATACACCTAATATAAGAGCACCCAGATTCATAAAGCAAGTTCTTAGAGATCTACAAAGAGCTTAGACTACCACACAATAAGAGTGGGAGACATTAACACCCCACTGACAATACTGGACAGATCATTGAGACAGAAAATTATCAAAGATATTCAGGACCTGAACTCAGCTCTGGATCAATTGGACCTAATAGCTATCTACAGAACTCTCCACCCCACAACAACAGAATATACATTCTTCTCATTGCCAACAGCACTTAAACTAAAACTGATCACATATTCAGAAGCAAAACACTCCTCAGCAAATGCAAAAGAACTGAAATCATAACAAACAGTCTCTTAGACCACAGTGCAATCAAATTAGAACTCAAATTTAAGAAACTAACTCAAAACCACATAACTACATGGAAATTGAACAACTTGCTCCTGAACAACACCTAGGTAAATAATAAAATTAAGGCAGAAATCAAGTTCTTTGAAACTAATGAGAACAAAGACAATGTGCCAGAGTCTCTGGAATGCAGCTAAATCAGTGTTAAGAGGAAAATTTATAGCACTAAATGCCCACATCAAAAAGCTAGAAAGATCTCAAGTTAACAACCTAACATCATAACAAAAGAACAAAAGAACAAAAGAACCAAGAGAAAACAAACCCCAAAGCTAGCAGAAGACAAGAAATAACCAAGATCAGAGCTGAACTGAAGGAGACAGAGACACGAAAACCCCTACAAAAAAATCAATGAATCCAGGAACTGGGTTTTTTTTTCCCAAAAATTAATAAAATAGAGCAGTAGGCTACATAATGAGAAAAGAGAGAAGAATCAAATAAACACAATCAGAAATGATAAGGAGGATATTATTACCACTGACCCCACAGAAATACAAACAACCATCAGAGAATACTATAAACACCTCTATGCACATGAAGTAGAAAAATCTAGAAGAAATGGATAAATTCCTGGACACATAAATCCTCCTAAGACTGAACCAGGAAGAAACAGAATCCTTGAATAGACCAATAATTGGTTCTGGAAATGAGGTAGTCTACAAGCCAAAAAAAAAAAGAAAAAAACCCAGAACCAGATATATTCACAGCTGAATTCTACCAGATTTACAAAGAAGAGTTGGTACCATTTCTACTGAAACTATGCCAAACAAAATTGAAAAGAAGGGACTCCTGCCTAACTGATTATGTGAAGCCAGCATCATCCTGATACCAAAACCTGGCAGAGATACAACAAAAAAAGAAAACTTCAAGCCAATATTCTTGATGAACATCAATGTAAAAATCCTCAGTAAATACTGGATAGTTAAATCCAGCAGTACATCAAAAAGCTTATCCACCGTTATCAAATTGGCTTCATCCTTGGGATTCAAGTTTGGTTCAACATACAAAAATCAATAAATGTGATTCATATTCATAACATAAACAGAACTAAACACAAAAACCCCACGATTATCTCAACAGATGCAGAAAAGGCCTTCAATAAAATTCAACATCCCTTCATGTTAAAAACTCTCAATAAACTAAGTGTTGAAGGAACGTACCTCAAAATAGTAAGAGCATGACAAACCCACAACCAATATCATACTAAATGGACAAAAGCTAGAAGACTTCCCCTTGAAAAACACCTCAAGACAGGGATGCCCTCTCTCACCACTCCTATTCAACAGAGTATTGGATGTTCTGGCCAGGGCAATCAGGCAAGAGAAAAAAGAAATAAAGGGCATTCAAATAGGAAAAGAGGAAGCCAAATTATCTTTGTTTTCAGGCGGGTGTGGTGACTCACGCCTGTAATCCCAGCACTTTGGGAGGACGAGGTGGGTGGATCACCTGAAGTCAGGAATTTAAGACCAGCCTGCCCAACATGGCAAAACTCCATCTCTACTAAAATATAAAAATTAGCCAGGCATGGTGGCGCATGCCTATACTCCCAGCTACTTGGGATGCTGAGGCAAGAGAATCACTTGAGCCTGGAAGCAAAGGTTGCAGTGAGCCAAGCTCATGCCACTGCACTCCAGCCTGGACAACAGAGTGAGACTCTATCTGAAAAAAATATATGTATCATTGTTTGCAGATGACATGATCCTATATCTAGAAAACCCCATCATCTCAGCTCAAAAAGCTTCTTAAACTGATAACTTGAGCAAAGTCTCAGGATATAAAATCAATGTGCAAAAATCACTAGCATTTCCATACAACAACAACTGGCAAGCAGAGAACCAAATCAGGAATGAACTCTCATTCACAATTGCTACTAACAGAATAAAATATATAGGAATACAGCTAACAAGGAACATGAAGGACCTCTTCAAGGATAACTATAAACCTCTGCTCAAAGAAATCAGAGATGACACAAACAAATGGAAAAACATTCCATCCTCATGGATAGGAAGAATAAATATTGTGAAAATGGCCACATTGCCCGAGGTAATTTATAGGTTTTATGCTATTCACATTAAACTACCATTGACATTCTTCACAGTATCAGAAAAAACCATTCTAAATTCATATGAACCAAAAAAAGAGCCCATATAGCCAAGGCAATCCTAAGCAAAAAGAACCAAGCTGGAGGCACCACACTACCTGGTTTTAAACTATACTACAAGGCTACAATAACCAAAACAACATAATACTGGTACAAGAGCAGACACATAGACGAATGGAACAGAATAGAAATCACAGAAATAAGACTACACACCTACAACCATCTGATCTTCTACAAACCTGACAAAAACAAGCAACAGGAAAGGGATTCCCTAATTAATAAATGGTACTAGGAGAGCTGGCTAGCCATATGCACAAAACTGAAACTGAACCCCTACCTTACACCTTATATAAAAATTAACTCAAGATGGATTACAGACTTAAAGTTAAAACCCAAAACCATAAAAACCCTAGAAGAAAATCTAGGCAATACCATTCAAGACATAGGCACAGGCAAAGATTTCATAAAGAAAACACCAAAAGCAATTGCAACAATAGCAAAAATTGACAAAGGGGATCTAATTAAACTAAAAAGCTTCTGCACAGCAAAAGAAACTATCATCAGAGTGAACACGCAACCTACGGAATGAGAGAAAAATTTTCCAATCTATCCATCTGACAAAGGTCTAATATCCAGAATCTATAAGAAACTCAAAGAAATTTACAAGAAAAAAAAAAAAAACCCATCAAAAAGTGGGCAAAGGACATGAACAGACACTTCTCAAAAGAAGACATACATGCAGCCAACAAATATATGAAAAAAAGCTCAACTTCACTGGTCATTAGAGAAATGAAAATCAAAACTGCAATAAGATGCCATCTCACAGGCTGGGTGCAGTGGCTCACTCCTGTAATCCTAGCACTTTGGGAGGCCAAGGTGGGCAGATCACCTGGGATCAGGAGTTCAAGACTAGCCTGGCCAACATGGTGAAACACCATCTCTACTAAAAATACAAAAATTAGCTGGGTGTGGTGGCGCATGCCTGTAATCCAACTACCTGGGAGGCTGAGGCAGGAGAATCGCTGAAACCCAGGAGGCGAAGGCTGCAGTGAGCCAAGGTCATGCCACTGCACTCCAGCCTGCATGACAGAGCGAGACTCTGTCTAAAAAAAAAAGATAACATCTCACAGCGGTCAGAGCGGCTATAAAAAAGGCAAAAAAGAACAGATACTGGTGAGGTTACAGAGAAAAAGGAATACTTTTACACTGTTAGTGGTAGTGTAAATCAGTTCAATCATTGTGAAAGACAGTGTGGTGATTCCTCAAAGACCTAAAAATAGAACTGCCATTCGACCCAGCAATCCCATTACTGGGTATATATCCAAAGACATATAAATCATTCTATTATAAAGAAACATTCACACATATGTTCATTGCAGCACTATTCACAATAGCAAAGACATGGACTCAACCTAAATGCCCATCAATGATTGACTGGATAAAGAAAATATGGTACATATAGACCATAGAATACTATGCAGTCACAAAAAGGAATGAGAACATGTCCTTTGCAGGGACATGGATGGAGTTGGAAGCCATTATCCTCAGCAAAACCAAATATCACATGTTCTCACTTATAAGTGGGAGGTGAATGGTGGAACACATGGAAACAGGGAGGGGAACAACACACACTGGGGCCTGTTGGAGGGGGGTGTGGGGAAAGGGAGAGAATCAGGAAGAATAGCTAATGGATGCCAGGCTTAATACCTACATGATGGGATGATCTGTGCAGCAAACCATCATGGCACACATTTACCTATGTAACAAACCTGCACATCCTGCACATGTACCACTGAACCTAAAATAAAAGTTGAAGAAAAAAAATTAAAAATTTCTGTCTCCTCTCTCTCCCTGTCTCTCTCTCTCTCTCTCTCACACACACACACACACACACATGCACACACATACACATACCCTATTTGTTCTGTTTCTCTGGACAACTCTGACTAATACAAACAGTAAGAGGTTTGCAGGTTATAACCTGGAAATAGCAATGTGGTAAGGGATAAGGGTAAAGAAAGAGCCTTCAAATGGGGAAATGTCTGGCTAAGCAGCTGATATATCTGCCATGGATTAGACACCCGCACAGACATCACATCAGTTCAGGCACCCTCCAGCTGGGACACAGGTTCTTACACCCGGGCTAAACCACTCATCTGCCATACAGCCAGCACACAGTAATAAGGGGAACACTGGGTGACTTGGCCCTGCTCACATCTAAAGCTCGATCTCTCCCAACTTGTTCCTGCTTTGTTTCTTGAATTTGTGTGTGTCAGCCTCTGATTTTATACCCATCCCTTGAAGCTCCTCAACATCACCATCATCTCTAACCTGATGAAGATTTAGTTTCTTCAGTTTAACACTTGGTGGTCCTCCATGAATGTGCTTTGCCATGTGTCCTCCAGCTTTACCAACTCTTGGCATTTCTTCAAACAGGTCTGGATCTCTAGCCCCTTCCCTAGAATGTCAACAATTCATTAAGGAGAGACCAATCTCACCTCATCTTGGCAACAGGGTCTTCCTTCACTACAGGCTTGTGAGGTCCTCTCAGTTCAAGGTTCTCATCTTCTCTTTGATAATACCTGTAGAGGCTTCATAAAGGAAACAAAAGTATTATTTGTAAAGAGCAGAACCTACAAAAAGGCGTTAATAAAATAAAACTTACTAGACAGCTAACTAAAGTATAAATACATACAAAACTAACAACATAAAACATTAAAATATGGCTACACTCATTTTACTGATGAGAAAAACGAGGCTCAGAATGTTCTCCAAGAGATGCCCAAAGCACCACAGCTGGGTTCTATATCCATACTGGTTATCAGATTTCAGAGCACATAGTCTTTTAAAATTTTTTTTCTTTTTCTTTTATTTTATTGTAAGCTGTGGGACACATGTGCAGGATGTGCAGGTTTGTTACATAGGTAAACATGCACCATGGTGGTTTGCTGCACCTATCAACCCATCGCCTAGGTATTATCCTGATGCTCTCCCTCCCCCGCCCCCATACCAATAGGCCCCTGTGTGTGTTGTTCCCCTCCCTGTGTCCATGTGTTCTCATTATTCAGCTCCCGCTTATAAGTGAGAACATGCACTGTTTTGTTTTCTGTTCCTGCATTAGTTTGCTGAGGATAATGGCTTTGAGGTCCATCCATCCCTGCAAAAGACATTATCTCATGTGCACGTTCTGCACATGTATCCCAGAACTTAAATTATAATTTTAAAAAAAATGGGCCAAAGACCTTAACAGATACCTCCCAAAGAAGAGCTATAGATGGCAAATAAGCATATGAAAAGATGTTCCACATCATATGTAATCATTAAATTAAATGAAATTAAACAACAACGAGATAGCCCTATACACTTATTAGAATGGTCAAAATCCAGAACACTAACGCCGGGGATGACTGATTGAATAAAAGGGCAGTGAGAGAGAAGGAGATGTCAAGGTAAAGAGACAAAGAGCTGGTCATCTTAGTTGGAGAACAGAATCTAGCAGTCTACATAAACGTAATGAAAATTGAGTGCCAATCATATGTGAAACATTTTCTGAAATCTTTTACAACCTTGGAAAGTAGATATTATTATCTCTATTTTTTAAGAGAGTATGCTGAGGCTCAAAAAGATTCTGCACTGTCTACTATGGCAGCCACTGGCCATAAGTGACAATTTATTTTTCAATTTTATTTAAATTAAATAAGACCAAGAATCAAGTTCATCATTAGCACTAGCCCCACTGCAAGGGCTCAGTAGCCACATATGGTTAGTGGCTGCCATATTGGACAGTGCTGTTCTAGAACATTTCCATTATAGCAAAAGTGCTATTGGACAGCCTGGTGTAAATAAATTAGCCTAATCCTGTGGCTGGTAAGTCATGGAGCTGTGGTTTAAGAGAAGATTTGTTTCACTGCAAAGCCCACTCTTTCCACTAGAAGGAGAATGAGCCCAAAGGTGTAGCTTGATTCTGAGCTGAAGGTGTTCTACATGAGGATGTGCTAAGGATGGCCTGATCTGGCCAGAACCAATCTGAGAATGCACATGAATGAGTTTAAGCCTTTAGGGGTCAAGCAGGTAGCTCTGGTTGAAATGGGAGCTGATGTTGTAGGAAATAAACAACTACTAATTTGTTGACTTGGTCTACCCACAGTGAGCATATGATTTATAGTCCACTTTTGAGTGTAAAAGGGAGTACCATTCATAATTACACGACAAAACAGGCATAAACCAGGATCGCACTAAGAACATGTGTTCACTCCCCAATTAGGTACCATGCATGTCGCAAATATACGAAAGTCATTTTAAATTTACCGTCATTTTTTCCAATTCTTATGTAATTATTCTTTTGGAATCAAGACTAAAAAAATTAAAAACCCAAATTCTTCATTGCTCAATGAACAATGAATAACTTTACTAATTAAAAGTATAACAAGGACGGGCGCTGTGGCTCACGTCTGTAATCCCAGCACTTTGGGAGGCCGAGGTGGGCAGATTACAAGGTCAGGAGTTCAAGAGCAGCCTGGCCAATATGGTGAAACCCTGTCTCTACTAAAAATACAAAAATTAGCCAGGCGTGGTGGTGGGTGCCTATAGTCCCAGCTACTCGGGAGGCTGAGGCAGGAGAATCTCTAGAACCCAGGAGGCGGAGGTTGCAATGAGCCGAGATTGTGCCACTGTACTCCAGCCTGAGGGACACAGTGAGACTCGGTCTCAAAAAAAAAAAATAATAATGTAACAAGCATCTTTTTTATATTATTAACCCCACCCCCATGAAAAAGTCTTCAAAAAGTGACCAAGAAAATGTGCCACTGATAAATGATGTTCAAATGAAAAGAAAATACATTATGATCTTTGCCCAGCAATACAACTTGTTAGCTGAGTGATCTTGGACAATTCACTCAACTTTTTCATACCTCAGTTTTCTCACTTGTAAAATTAATTTCCTATTGATGCATAACAAATGAGCATGGTGGCACATGCTTATAATCACAGCACTTTGGGAAGCTGAGGCAGGAGGATTGCTATAGCTAAGAGTTTGCGACCAGCCAGGGCAACATAGGAAGATCTTGTCTCTACAAAATATAAAAATAAATAGGCTCACTCAGGAGGTGGGAGGATGACTTGAGCCTGGGAGGCAGAGGTTACAGTGAGCCAAGATCACACACTGCACTCCAGCCTGGGCGACAAAGCCAGACGCTGTCTCAGTAAATAAATAAATAAATAAGCCAGAAGTGGTGGCTTGTGCCTGTGCCCCCACTTACTTGGAAGGCTAAGGTGGAAGGATCGCTTGAGCCCAGGAGGGAGCTATGATCATGCTACTGCACTCCAGCCTGGCCAACAGAGTGAGACACTGTCTCAAAAACACAAAAAAAACAAAAACAAAAAAACCTCCAAATTATCCCAGGATTTACGTGCAGTTTAACTAGGCAGATCTGGCTCAGGGTCTCTAATCAGGAAGTGTTTGAGTGATGGTGTGAATCCCTCATGAATGGCTTGGTGCATGGCTCAGTAGCGAGTTAGCTCTTGCTGTCTCGAGAATGGATTAGTTCCCAAGAAGGTGGTTATTAAAAAGAGTCTGGCTTCTTTGGTTTTGTTCTCTTGCCTCCTTTCTCGCATGTCACTTCTTTGTATACACCTACTTCTTCCACTTTCTGCCAGGAGTGGAAGCAGCCTGGGGCTCTCACAAGATGCAGCTGCCTAATCCTGGATTTCCAGTCACCAGAACTATAAGCCAAATAAACAATTTTTCTTTATAAATTACCCCATCTTAGGTATTCTGTTATAGCAACACAAAATGGACTCAGATAGGGATGTAAGAATGAAAGAAAAAAGGTAAAGAGATATACTTTACACTATTTGAACACATTTCATTTAGTTGAAAATTTAACTGAAAACAATGCCCCAAAAAGAGATTCAATGAAGCCTAGGCATGTCTCCTTTTGAAGTGCTCCCTTTTGAATGAGCACACCTGCTTTGCGGCAGAAGCAAAAAGAGAGCATGGCCTTCTAATTCCCATTCCAGGGTTCATGTGCCTCGTGCCAGCAGGGCAAATGTGACCACTTACTTAATGCCTGGCTGCCTCAGTGTCCTTATCTACAAAATACCAACAATATGAACGCTTACCTTGTTAAGGCTGTTGTGAAGATTAAATTAGACAAGGAGTTTAAGTTAACATTCAAAAAAATTTTCTTCTGATTATATTATCCGTCATTGCAAACATGAAAAGAACAAATGGGGTCTTTTCTTAGCTAGGAAATGTGTGGCCTGGCTTATTTCTAAGCCTGATATCCGTTCCACTGTAGGGACAGATGAGCAAAGATCTTACCTGGGTCACTCACATGGAGTGGGGCTTTAAGAAGAGGGTTAAGGCCAAGACAAGAAAACAGGTCCAATGCGAGTCTTCAATCTAAAGGAATCTAAGAAAACCAGGAGGCATCTTCGAAGACAAAGAGAAGATAAGCCGATTCAAGGAGACAAAAAGGAGATTGATTTGTATTCATTCCTGAGATGAAGGCACCACTCTCTGAGATGGTTTTTTTACATATTTCCCACATATCCTTTAGTGGAAAAGTTTTAAATTTTCAAATTTCATTATATTCGCATTCTTTTTGTTTGGACATAAATAATGGATGTAATGTACAATATACTGATTTTAACTTTGAGTTGAAATTTTAAAAAGTGATTTGCAGTTCTAACTATACAACATCCTGGAAGAGACAAAACTATAGGAACAGTGAAAGATTAGTGACTATCAGCGGTTGTGGGGAGGGAGGCATGAATAGGCAGAAGGATTTTAAGGGCAGTCAAACTGTTGCATATGATACTAAATGGTGAATACTTGTCATTATACATTTGCCATAATCCATATAACAAAGAACTCCAAGAGCGAGCCCCAATTTAAACTACTGAGTTGCATCGATAATTATGTACCCAATGCCGGTTCATCAGTTGTGACAAATGTACCAATCGGGTGCAGGATGTTAACAGCGGAGGAGGATGTGCATGTGTGGGGGCAGTGGGTGTGTGGGAATTCTGTACCTCCTGCTCAGTTTTGCAGTGTACCTAAAATTGCTTTAAATAGTAAAATCTATTTTTAAAAGTGACTTCTCTTTTCAAACTTTTATTATGAAATGTTTCAAAATTACAAAAGAAGAAAGAACAAAATGAACCCATTAAGCCCATTTCAATAATTATCGACATGTGGTCAATCTTGTTTAATCTATACACCCACTCATTTCCCTCCAACCCCTCCACTGGGTTATTTGGAAGCAAATCTGTCTTATCAAACCATTTCATCAAATCAGGTTCATTTCAAGGAACTGAGAAAGACTAGAACTAAGTGTCAGCCAGGGACTCACTGTAACAGCTCTCCAAAGGCCTCTCCATTTTCCTTATTATGCAATAATAGCCAAAAATAAATGTTGTAATAATTTCAGTCCATAATTAGTCACCTAAACTAATCATGTAAATTAGTTGAACATGAATTTTTTTATTATATTTTGCCTTTAGATTTCTTCCTCTTCTGAGTAAATATTTTTGGATAATTTTTCCCTAAATCCATAATATCTCCATCTTTCCCAACCACCAAATTTAATTTTATCCATGCCCTCTAAGCAAAATGTCTTTGTAAAAAATGAGAAATACCATGACCTCTGTACTGAGAAAGTCAATAACTTACAAAAGCTCTAGAAGACACAAACTGAAACACCACAAAAGTAATATCTATGACCGTTTACCAAGCTTTAAGAAGTAAGTAAAACCCTTGCCTTCATATTTTCTTCAGAACCAGGACATCCTTTATGGGCAGGGTTCTCACTGACTACTCAAGGGAGCTATTATGAGACACAGCTTGGCTAACAGTCCCGGAATGCTGAATTTCTGGATCTATTGAGATAATCATGTGGTTTTTGTCATTGCTTCTGTTTATATGATGGATTACGTTTATTGATTTGCATATGTTGAACCAGCCTTATATCCCAGGGATGAAGTTGACTTGATCATGGTGGATAAGCTTTTGGATGTGCTGCTGGATTCGGTTTGCCAGTATTTTATTGAGGATTTTTGCATCGATGTTCATCAGGGATATTGGCCTGAAATTTTCTTTTTTTCTTGTGTCTCTGCCAGGTTTTGGTATCGGGATGATGCTGGTCTCATAAAATGAGTTAAGGAGGAGTCCCTCTTTTTCTGTTGTTTTGGATCGTTTCAGAGGAATTCTAAGAATTCTTAGCATGGAAAACAGGCTGAATGGGTGATACTCAGTCATGGTTTACTAAATTATGTTAACCTTTTAACTTGTAAGTATTTATGAAATGTTTCTGCATAGATGTCACATTAATAAGAATAGTTTCATATAAGGCTCAGATTGATTTGTATTTTAATGTCTTTCTGGATTTTTATCCATATTTAACAAATATGCATAATCAAACATAAGCACTTTAGACTAGACCATAATTACTGAATATTTTACTAATATCTGTGATTTTTAAAATATTACTCCCCTATAATAAGATGAAAAACTAACGAGTGCAAATACATATTCGCATGCTTTGAAAGTCAGTAGGTATATTTACCTTGTATTAATCAGTCTTGGGTTTTGCACATAGCATATCTTATTAAAGGAAATAGCACCTGAGAATATTGTAAGCTACCTAAGGGAAGGACCATGCCTGTTTTGTTCACCTAGAAGCTGTGAATTTTAAGAGAATGGGCTTTAACACTAAACTGCCTGTGTCCTGCTGACGTTTTCTAAGAAAGTGCCCTTGGGCAAGATATTCAACCTCTCCTTGCTTTGATTCCTCATCTGTAAAATAGATAATGATTACTGAAGTACCCATGCATAAGAGTGTTGTGAGGGTTGAATGACTGATATGCAAAGCTCTGGGAAAAGGATGGCACAAATTAAGACTAGCTGTTCTTCACGGCTGTATCCACCAGGCTCAGAGTAAATATTTGTTGTCTAAATAAATAAATGACAAAGAATCAATTCCTTTTATTTCTCTTTTGGACTTGTTAATGGGTATAAACTATAAGGCAATTCCATGGTACTGATATAATAGGTACTCTTAACTGTCAAAAAGTATAAAAACATTGTATCTATCAGAGCAAAAGAAGCCACGTTAGGAAAGTCACACACCAGCATACATATTCTATCCATCACAATTGCAATTGTGTTTTGTTTCTAATCAGATATCTTTAATAGCTTTTATACATAAGAAAAGGGGTCTGGGCTGGGCATGGTGGCTCACACCTGTAATCCCAGCACTTTGGGAGGCCGAGTGGGGGCAGATTAGTTGAGCTCAGGAGTTCCAGATCAGCCTGGTCAACATTGTGAAACCCTGTCTCTACTAAAAATAGAAAAATTAGCCAGGTATGGGGGCACGTGCCTGTAATCTCAGCTACTCTGAAGGCTGAAGCAGTAGAATCGCTTGAATCCAGGAGGCAGAGGTTGCAGTGAGCCAAGATCATACCACTGCGCTCCAGCCTGGGTGACAGAACCAGACCCTGTCTCAAAAAAAAGGGGGGGGGAGGGGATCTGAACTTAGTAGAGTACTGCAGAAAGTGAAAAAGTGAGTAACAAGAGAAAAGTAGGTTATGTGAAGAATAACCAGATATTTGAAACTAAAAACGAGAGGCCTTGGGAGGGACTTTGAATAGCTATGTGCCTGATTTAAATAAATACAAAAATCACAGAATTGACCATCATTTTTAATTAGATAGATATAGCCAGTGAATACTCAAATTCACTGTGAAACCAGATAGTCATGAGCCACCCAGACTCAAATTATAACATTGTCTTAGTCTACTTGATCTGTTATAAGAAAATACCATAAACTAAGTAGCTTATAATAGAAATTCATTGCCGTAGTTCTGGAGACTGGGAAGTTCAAGATCAAAGCAGATTCTACATCTGGGGAGGAACTGTGTTCTGGCTCTAGGTGGCACCTTCTTGCTCTGTCCTCACATGCTGGAAAGGGCAAAGAGGATCCCTTGAGCCTCTTTTATATGTGCACAAATCTCATTATCAAGTGCTTCATCCCCAAAACGTAATCACCTCCTAATGGTCCCATCTCCTAATACCATCACCTTTCGGGTGAGGATTTCAACATATGAGTTTGGGGGGACATAAACATTCGGACCATAGCAAACATAAATATAATTTTGTTGAGTGTTAGATATATCTGCGTGTCCCATTCTCTGGAAAATGTGGGCATCCTGTCTCCTGCTGCTCATAGTATCAGAATATTCAGAAAGTACAGTTTATAAATATCTCCAGGAGAGTTAAAATGGACCAAAATTCCAGAGACAACATTTTGTACCATTTCTCATTTTGTGCCATTAATTGCTAGCTTGAATTAATTAAAATACCAAATAGAGAACAGCTGACGGAATTCACAGTCTGGTAGAGTTGCCAGATAAAATACAAGACGTCTAGTGAAATTTTGAAATGGCTCCATTGTCTGGGGTAAATAGCCAGGGTTCATTGTCTCGCGCCAGGAAAACTTAGGACGCGGACACACATGAGGAGCGGGTTTAGGAGTGGAAAGTTTAATAGACAAAGAAGAGGAGAAAGAAAGTTTCCTCATTGTTGAGAAAGCGGTCGCCCAAAACAGTTTCCAGGTTGGGGTGAGATTTGACTGATTTTATACAGAGGCTTGAGGAGGCACTGATTGATTTACATAAGGCCCAGGGGATTGGTTTGACCAGGTGTGCCATTTACATAGCTTGCAGAAGACTGGCCCTCCCATCATGATCTTTTATTAAGCAAATGTGGCTTCTACCTGCCTGTCTGGCTGTCACCTGCCTGTCTGGCTGTCACCATGACATCTGCATATGTGGCTTTATCTGGCCGGTGCCATGATACCCACACATGTGGTGACAAAGAAAAGGGAGCAGGGATCACCATATTGAATATACCTGGCTTCCAGGTACACCTGCCGACATTTACATATGCAAGCTTCTAGCTTGCATATCTATGCTTGCAACTTGACTTTTCAGGCTGCTTTCTGTTAGAAAAGAAATGGTTTGGGGCTGCTTTTTATTAAAGGGAAATTTCACTGAGAACCCTTTTACCCTCTGTAACTGCCTAAGATAATTTCTTAATAACTCCTGTATTAATTTCAGTTTCAAATAAACAGTGAATATTTATTTTTAATATAAGTATGTTCCAAATACTACATGGGACATACTTATGCTAAACAAATTATCTGTGGTTTTACTGAAATTCAATTTCAACTGGGCATCCTGTATTTTTATCTGCTCCACCTGGCAAGCCTACATTCTGGTTATAATAAACACATAAACTTCCATTTTTACCACTGCTCGCCTAACCATTCATAGGTGGCATTTCTCACCTAAGAAGCAATGAGAAATATTTAATATTTGTCTTGACTTTCATCAGAGAGAAAAGAAATGAGAAAGGACAGAAGAAAATTTTACCTACATGATTAACATTTTTGCCATATTAGGGCAGTCAGCGATTTTCCACTTATAATTAAAATCTGCTCAACTGAGACTACTGGGCCCTTCAGAAACTCCAAGTTCTTTTCTATGGTTGAGAAGAAAAAGTTGGGGATGGCAGGGGGAAGATGGCAGGTAATCATGAAATGGATATGATTTTCTCAGAGACTAAGACTGCAAGGTGGACACAGAGCAGAGAGAGAAGGTATAAGATATATCTAACAGAGGTTAAGATAGTGGCTTTCAGATCCAGCAATTCCACTACTAGGTGTATATAAAAAGGAAATGAAATCAGTTTGTTGAAGAGACATCTGCACTATGTTTATTGCAGTACTATTCACGATAGCCAAAATATGGAATCAATGGATGAATGGATAAAGGAAATGTGATATCTGTACATAATGGAATACTATTTAGCCTTAATACAGAAGGAAATTCTAGCATTTGCAACAACATGGATGAAACAGGGACGTTATGTTAAATGAACTGAACCGCACACAGGAAGACAAATACTGCATGATCTCACTTATATGTGAATCTAAAAAAAAAACAAGGTCAGGTGCAGTAGCTGATGCCTATAATCCCAACACTTTGAGAGGTTGAGGTGGGCAGATCACTTGAGACCAGGAGTTTGAGACTAGCCTGGGCAACATAGCAAAACCCCATCTCTAGTAAAAACACACACACACAAAAAAAAATTAGCTGGACTTGGTGGTGCATGCCTGTAATCCCAGCTATTGGGGAGACTGAGGCACAAGAATGGCTTGAACCCAGGAGACAGAGGTTGCAGTGAGTCAAGATTGCACCACTGCACTTGAGCCTGGGCAACATAGAGAGACTCTGTCTGAAAATCAACAACAACAAAAACAATGAACTCATAAAAGCAGAGAGTAGAATGATGGTTACCAGCAGCTGGGGTCATGGAGAAGAGAGGTTGGGGAGATGCTGATCAAAAGATAGAAAATTTCAGTTAGATACGAGGAATAAGTTAAAGAGATCTACTGTAGGAAACAAAAAGACTGGATGTTTTTTAACTGCTAAAATGGAAAGATGGCTTTTTCTCCCTCTTAAACATTTTTTTTTGTATAAATTCTGGAATAAACTGACAGGGTTCTAATTCCAATTCCATTATTTCACAAATGTATGGTCTTGGGTGAGTCATGTAACACCTCCTTACACCTTGGTTTGGGAACAGTAGATCTGAAAATTGTGTCAGAATTCAGTAAGTATAAAAAGGCACTTAACAGAGCCTGGGACACAATAAAGATTATATAACTATCAGCCATTTTATCTAAACTTTGGCTTCTCAAATGCATCCTATAGAGTACTTACAGGTGGTGATCCTACAGTCCAGCTAATCTTGATATGATTACTTGCTGTATGACTCTAGACAAATTATCTAACCTCGATAAACTATGTCCATCAGTGAGGACAGGTGAAATAACAGTATTTTGATCATATGGTTTTTGAGAATTTTAACTGAAATAATGCATGTCACTATTAAAGGCTTATAAATGTTAGCAGCTGTTGTTGAACATTTTTCTTCTTTGGCTTCCATAATGTTATAACATTCAGATTCTCTACTTACCTCTCCATCTTTTTTTTTTTTTTTTTTTTTTTTGCTTATTACCATTCCTGGATTCCCACACTTCTCCCTGCCCCACTCAGTCAGCCCTTTGCACTCTCATTCTTTGAATAATAGTTTCCAGTTGCTGCTTCAGCCCCCACCTCTATGCTGGCAATTCCTAAGTCTTCTATCTGCAGTCTTCGTTTCTCCACTTGTACCACAGTCTCACACAACTCCCACGACCTGAATGTGTTTACTTCAGTGTTGCATTATCCTCTCCAAACTTCCATGTCCAAAAAAATTCTCAGCTCCCACAGCTGCTAATTCCTTTGGGGGTTGGGAGGAATGAGCAACTCTTTTCAATTTCCCTGCTGTTGGCAAACACAGACATTCTCTAGTAGTCCCCGAGATCAAAGCCTTGGAGTCATCTTTGCCACATCTATTTCTATCATCCTTCATGTCCCATCAGTCACCAAAATACTAGACCACCTACCACACACCAGGGAAAGAGAAGTAAAAAGAAAATCCGTGAAAACAAAAACAAAACAAACATCTTTTCAAAGACACATCTGACAGGAAAACACAATTTGTATTATTTAAAATTATTCCCCTTTTCCCATACAAACACCCTATCTGCCCTTCTCAAGAGGATGGATGTTGGTTGGTAATTGAGGTATCTTTGCTTGCTGAGAATAGTCAACTTCAGGATAAAGGCTTTTGCATATTTGAAATAGTAAGAGTAGGAAGCACAATTGAGACAGCTGGGATGCGCTAAATTGTGCCATGGAAAAAGGAAGAGAAATGGGGTCAAGTGGGTGGAGGATGGGAGGTGGAGATGCTGCAAGGCAAGGCTGAGGAGAACATGGCAGCAACAGGTAGCTGAAGATAAACTGTGGGAGAAAACAAAAGTACTTCCCACAAACTCTTGCAGTAAGAATGGGACCTGGCTGAATCCTGGCTGTACCATTTAGCACCTGCAAGACAGCAAGCAAATCCTTCGACTTAATGCCTCAGTTTCCTTGTTTGTAAAATGGGGAAAATAATAGTGTCTACGTCAAAGAGTTCTTCTGATGATTATATGAGCTCAAGTAAAGAACTTGGCATGGTGCCTGGTCTATAATAAGTGCATATATTAATACTAAATCATTTATTATTAAGAATTCTTTGAGGAGTAGATTTGTCTGTAGGAGATGTGACAAAGTGCTGAAGTACAGAGTTTTGTTCTGGTTGATAGGGGACTTTTTCAAAAAATAGAGGTTTCATTTGAATAAGAATGACGTCAAGTTACAAACGTTTTAAAAGAGAATGACTCGGTTGGGTGTGGTGGCTCATGCCTGTAATCCCAGCACTTTGGAATGCCAAAGTGGACAGACCACCCGAGGTCCGGAGTTCGAGACCAGCCTGACCAACATGGCAAAACCCTGTCTCTATTAAAAATGCAAAATTAGCCGAGCGTGGTGGCACATACTTGTAATCCTAGCTACTCGGGAGGCTGAGGCAGGAGAATCGCTTGAACCCGGGAGGCGGAAATTGCGGTGAGCAGATACTAGGCCATTGTACTCCAGCCTGGGCAACAAAAGCGAGACTCTGTCTCAAAAAAAAAAAAAAAAAAGGATGACTCAGCAAATTTCATTCCCAGGTATATATGCAAGAAAAATGAGTGCAAGTCCACCAGAAGACACATTTATGAATGCTTACAGTAGCTTTATGAATAATATCCCCAAACCAGAAACAATGCCAATGTTCATTTACACCAGGATGAATAAGTAAACTTTGGTTTATTTATACAATTTATACCATACATCATTGAAAAATATGAAATATATAAAAGGAACTATTGCTACACACATTACGTGGATGAAACTCATAGATGATTAAAATAAATCAGATGTAAATGAGCACATACTGTATGATTCTGTTTATATAAAGTCCAAGAAATAAAGAAATCTTTGGTGACAGAAGTTAGGATAGTAGCTACCTCTGCAGAAAGAGGGGAACCAGTATAGACTGGCAAGGGCACTGAGGGAGCATTCCCGGGCAATGGAAATATTTTAGACCTTGATCTGGGATGCTGGTTTCACGGGTGTATGCATATGTAAAAATTCAAGTTTTGCCCTTAAGATATGTGACCTTTACTATATGTATATAATGCCACAGTTGAAATTAAAAAGGGGGAGGTTCAGAATCCACACATCCCTTGGAAGTTTTTAACAAGTATATGAGCACATTATTCTTTGTAGGGCCCATTGCAGCTGTGTAGATACTGAGGTGTCCCCTGCCTCTCCTTAGCCCATGTGAGGAGCACAGAGATTTCACAGCCAGACCCCACTTTCTAGATACAAAGACTTAATTTCATAGTCTATACTCTTAACAACCACATGCTAACAGGTAGACTCACAGTTAAGACCGCACAGACTTATGTCCCACTGCCCCTATAGTCTTCTCCATCTCTCTAAGAGATGTCCCATCCTTCCAGTTGTTCAAAGCAAAAACCTTGGTGTCTTTCTGTCACATCCTGCCTCCAAGCCAAAAGAAAATTCTGTTGGCTCTACCTTCAAACCATAAAGAATTTGATGCTTTCTCATGACCTCCTTAATTAACAAGCTGGCACAAGCCACCATCATCTCAGAAGCCTCCCAACTGGTTTTCTGATTCTATCTTAGCTCCTACAGTCCGTACTCCACATGGCACCAGGACAATCCTTTCACAACTTAGGTGATCATGTCATCCCTCTTCTTAAAATCTTCCAATAGGCCAGACGCAGTGGCTCACACCTGTAATCCCAGCACTTTGGGAGGCCAAGGTGGATCACTTGAGGCAGGAGTTTGAGACCAGGCTGGGCAACAGAGTGAGACCCTGTCTCTACAAAAAATAAAAGAAACCAAAACCTTCTGATGGCTTCCTATCTCTGGGTGCTTATCTCATTCAGAGTGTAAGTCCTTAATCAGTTCTACTAGGGCTTACATGATCCAGCGACACACACTCCAAGTCAGGCTGGCCCCTGATCATCTTCTTTTCACTCATTCAGCTCTGGCTACACTGACCTCCTTGTAGATTCCAGAAGATGTTTAGCAAACTCATGCCTCAGAGCCTTTGCACTTGTTCTCTCTACCTTGATTGTTCTTTACCTGGATTATTCACGTGATTCACTACTTCACCTCCTTCAGTCTGGGGCTCAAATTGCACCTGACGATTAGTGGTTAGGTCTCCTCTAACCATTCTAAATAAAATAGAATACCCCTGCCCTCCCAGATTTCACCCTGCCACCCCATCATAATCCCCTACCCTCCCATCTAGCAGTTTTATATTTCTCCATAGGACTTACCAGCTAACATTTTATATATTCATTTGTTTATTGGTCTGTCTTTCCTCTCTCCACCTTTCCAAGAATATAAGCTCCAAGGGGTAAGTGATTTTTGTCTGTCAGATTAACTGTCATAGATCAACACCTAGAATAGTATGTGGCACAGAACAGAAATTCAATGAATAGTTGTGAAATAAATAAATATCCCAGGTTCCACATTAGGATACCTGGTTATTCAAATATGATGCATTTAAACAGTATGCATGAAATAGTTCCTAAAATATGAAAGAGATGAAACTATTAAAAATTATGAATAAAAACAATATTCAATAATAATTATGAGCCTTGCAAAAATAAATATTGAAATACCTATCTTTACATCTCTGAATAAGTGAAGCTACTGTGTTCAGAAAACAGTTGGGAATTCACAGGTAATCCCACATTTCTAGCTACTTTTTATAAAACACTCAATGGAGCCGTCTGGTAGGAAATTATCTATTAGCTCATTGCCCAAATTCGAATTGCTACTTATAACTGATTAAAGTGCTTCATAGAATGCGGAAAACATCCTGATGCTTCTGATATGAGATAGGATATGATTGAGGCCCTTACATTTTGGCTTATTATGAAGAAATTATCTTACTTTCTTATTCTGACCCCTTCTGTAACTGTCTTTATGCTAATGGTTTGCAAGCAAATATCTACAGCTCTTAAAACTAGCAAGGCCGGCTTCCTGCTGCCACCTGCCTGAGATGTGTCACAGGCTCCTTGAAGTATCCATGTGTGAGCATGGACATAGAGCTAGCCAGTGGGTGGAGCAGAGAGGGTAGGGTCTGGGTGGCAGATGTAACTTCTCTACTGATTCTTGTTTGAACTTGGGCAAGTGATTCTCTGCTTGTCCTCATCTAAATGATCAGTAGATTAACCTTACACGTTTGTGGTAGGGATTAAGCATATCATATGTAAAATGACCAATAGTGCCTAATACTTACTAGGCATCTCATTTTTTCTCTTCCATCTTCCTTCAACCCTATTTCTCCTCCTGTAGTCCCAGTCTCCAGGAATGACAACACCAGCCACCTGGCCACCCAAGTCAAAAACGTGCCTACGTTTCTTAATTCCTCACCCTTCCTTTTCCACATGCAGCTGCTCAGCAATATATGTTGATTCAATTTCTTGTAGCCTCTTAAATATTCTGTTCTGTAATGAGAAGTAATTGTAGTCACATGTGGTCATAAGGGTAAGGCCATGGTCTGATAGGATTAGTGTCCTTATAAGAAAGGTCACTGGATAGCTCTCCTTTTCTCTCCACCATGTGAGGACATAGCAAGAAGGCAACCGTCTGCAAGCCAGGAAGAGGGCCCTCAACAGAAACCAGTCAGGCTGGTACTGTGATCTTGACTTTCAGCCTTCAGAATTGGGAGAAAATAAGTTTCTGTTGTTTATGCCATCAGTCTGTGGTATTTTGTGATGGCAGCCCAAGCTAATTAATACAGATTTTGGTATACAGAATGGGGTGTGTTGCAAACTATACTTGAAAATGTGGAAGAGGCTTTAAAACTGGGTACAAGGTAGATAGAGGTCAGAAGAGTTTTGAGGTGCATGCTAGAAAAAAACCTAGACAGTCATGAAGGGACTGTTGGCAGAAATACCAGGTGTTAAAGGCCATTCTGAGGAGATCTCAGATGGAAAGAGGAACATAAATTATTGGAAACTGGAGGAAACGTGATTCTGGTCATAAAATGTCACAGAAATTG
The DNA here is from genome assembly GCF_000001405.40 of Homo sapiens. Lineage (NCBI taxonomy): Eukaryota > Metazoa > Chordata > Mammalia > Primates > Hominidae > Homo > Homo sapiens. The sequence continues at coordinate 84,573,448 of NC_000004.12, forward strand.
TCTGAGTTGTGTCCTAGTGTTTTGTGAAAGGCAGAACTTGGAAGCGATGAAACTAGATATTTAGCTATGCAGATTTCTAAGCCAAGTGCTACAGGAGTGTCTTGGTTCCTCTTGCTTAGTAAAATGTAAGAAGTGAGAAATGAATTGAAGAAGAAATTGTTATGCAAAAAGGAACCAGAGCTTAAAGATTTGGAAAATCTTCAGCCTGCCCATATTGCAAAATATGTGAAGGCATGTTTGGAAGAGGACACCAAGAGTGTGGCTAGACTATCACTTGATAACAAAGGTTATAGAATTATATCAGCAGAAATACTGTCAGTTTGAACTGAAGAAGATGGAGACAGGACAAAATGAAGAAAGGCTGTCAGATTTAAATTCTATAGGACAGTTACGATAGAGCGATTTGACTGCAAACAGGAACTATTCTTCAAGAAAAGGAAAGAATGACTTCAAAGGTGATTCATCAGGGCTGCATCCTTGGTTTCAAAGGGTGGGGCCACAACTGTCTACCACTCTTCCTCCACATCAGCAGGGGTATGTGCTGTCAGACTCATGTCTGGAGAGAAAATTCTAAAACAAAGTACTATGGACTGAATGTGTCACCTCCAAATTCACATCTTGAAACCCTAAAATTCCCAGTGTGATGGTATTTGGAGATGGGGCCTTTGGGAGGAAATTAGTTTATTAGAGTGGAGTCCTCATGACAGGATGAGTGCCCTTAGAAGAACAGACATGAGAGTGCTCTCTTTCTCATTCTCTCTCTCTCTCTCTCTTTCTGCCTCTCTGTTTCTCTGTTCTCTACCCTGTAAGGGTACAACGAGAAGGCAGCTATCTGCAAACCAGGAAGAGGGCCCTCACCAGACACTAGATCTGCCAGAACATTGATCTCAGATTTCCCAGCCTCCAGAACTGTGAGAAATAAGCATAAGTTGTTTAAGCCACCCAGTTTATGGTACTTTCTTACCGCACCCTGAATGGACGAAGACACAAAGTAAAACCCAGCCTGCCTGAGATGGCTCCTGGTAAGTAATGGAGCTGGGAGAGGAGAAGGATCTGATGTAACTTGGATCTTCATGTGATAGCAGAGTAGGCGGGTGAGGGGAAATGAAAGAAAACTGCGAAAACTGCAATTTCCTGCATTTGGCCTCAGCTTTCTCAAATGGAAGTTCTAAAATAAGCAATTCTCGCAGTTGGTGTTAGAATTAAAGAAAGGATAAGTCCACACACCAGTTAGAGAAGTTAGTGGCACAACCTATTCTATCTATTCTAACATATTTCTATCTCCACCCCAACATCATCCTCAGAGGTATTATAATAGGAATCTGAGTTAATCAACATATAGCAATTGGTACAGCCATCTGGGAGGGAAATCTTGTAGAATTTATCAAAGTATTGAATGCACGTATTCTTTGATCTATTGCTCCATGTCTAGGTATCTATAGAATTGCACATGTTTCATAAATATATGTTCAAGGATGTTTATTGCAGTGTTATTTTAATAACTACAAAATCGGGGAAATCCCTAAATGTCTGCTGTACAAATGGCTAAGTAAAATATGGTACAGTCACACCATGTATATATATAATGATTTTAAAGAATTAGAATGTACTTATAAACACAAAAAGTGCTTTAAGGCATAATATTAAATAAAAAATTATGTCACAGAACATTATGTAGAATATATGCATGTGCATATATACTTACATAAGAAACAGATCTGCAAGAAACTCTGGCAAACAGTTAACAACAGTGGTTATTTCTAGGGAAAGAAGTGTTTCCAGAAAGATGGAAAATCACCTTTATGTTGTTATATGCTCTAGATAATACTGTATTGTTTAACTTTTTAACTCTAGTGTGTATTTATGTATCATTTGTGTATATATACATATATATATCTGCTATATAGTGCCTAGCACTGTGTTCTGACATTGTAGGTACTCAATAAATATTTGTTACATATGCAGATGAATATTTATCGAATAAAAACAAACATGCATTATTACTATAGCTGAAGTATCATTTCCAAAAGTGCAAAAATCACAAATCTTATACAAATATAAAATGAACACATATCAAAGATTTCATGCATTTACAAATGAGAGAACTAGAGATACATTAAAATTAGTTCAAATGGGTTTCTGACTTAAAATGATTTATATCCTCTATCAGACAAAATTCACTTACATTGCCATGAACAAGAACGTGGTTATCAGTTTTCCACAAAGCACTTTTTTTATTCCAACAGAGTTGTAAAACAGCCTATTTGATCAAAGACAATCAAAGGTGCATCCCCAGCTGGGCATGGTGGTGCACACCTGTGGTCCAGCTACTCCAGAAGCTGAGGTGGGAAGATCACTTGAGTCCAAGAGGAGTTCAAGGTTGTAGTGCACTATGATTGAGCCTGTGAATAGCCACTGCACCACAGCTTGAACAACATAGTGAGACTCCATCTATAAAAAAAAAATTGTGCATCCCCCTATGAAATCAAATAGTGCCTAGCAGGCCCCCTAGGCATGCTTAAGGTCCACTGTAAGAATAGCCAGAAATTTCTTTTGCTCATTTCCAAATCAATTTTTCCCAACACTGGTATGTTAACAATCAGGAGGATCACTTGAGATCAGGAGTTCGAGACCAGCCTGAGCAACATAGCAAGACTCTTGTCTACAAATAAATAAATAAATAAATAGGTTAGCCTGGCATGGTGGTACCTGCCTGTAGTACTAGCTACTAGGGAGGCTTAAGCAGAAGGATCCCTTGATCCCAGGAGTTTGAGGTTGCAGTGAGCTATGATTGTACCACTGCACTCCAGCCTGGGTGACAGAGTGAGACACTGTCTCTAAAAAAAAAGAAAAAAAAATAAAAATAAATAAATATTTGTCAAGGATTCCACAGTTCTGAAAAATTGGTTTAATCTACATATATACAGATCAATACTGTTCACTTATTCTCTTAACAAGATCACCAAATTTGTCTAAATTTGCTTTGCAAGTAAGGTAATGCAAAGCTTTGCCTTATGAAATCTCAAAGTGTCCTTGAATAAGATGTTCTGGAAATAACTTGGCAAAACCTAATCGAAGTAAATCATTGTGGCATTTGTTCTTTAAAAGCAATAGTACAGAACTTACACTCTGCATGGTATGTTGCTGAAGCCCAGTTTGTTAACAAAAACACAAAACAAAAGAACACCACTGCTGTATTAGGTCTTTCTTAAGCATCTTAGGTTAACAACCAGTCCTGGTCCAACCAAAGACACTCTAATAGATTTCCTGTTCTAGGATTTTCCCAACTGTCTGGAGGCCACAGTCTTTACTACTCCCATTCACCAACTCCTCCCAGTTAAATGCATAAAAATGCATCAAATGCTAAATGGTAAAATGCATAAATTATTATTGTTAAGGGGAAATTAATCTCCACAATAATTTGGGATATTAGTATAATTTGGGGGGCAAATCAATGACATTTCTGAAAATACGACAAAAATATTTTTTAGTAAATCAAACTATGAGAAAAGAGACAATTGCAACAAACAATAGGTATCACCAAAAATATGTAAACTTTAAAAGTCTTTTTTAATTTTCAGGAATAAAATACATTCACCAGTGAAATAATTTTTAAAACATATTATTGACTATATTTTTCAAACAAAAAATGAGGCCTCATATAGTCTAGGAAATTTTTTTTTGCTATGAGAATATATAGATGTGAAAAAGTTTTCAAAATAAAAAAACATATATAGTTACATATTTAATAAATACTCTTCACTGAAAGAAAAAAGTACATATAATTGGGACTATCTGGAAAAATCCAAGATATGTGATCTTCCTAACAATAATCTTTAGAGTGTTGTACTTCATAGACTCAATTAAATCATTTTTAAAATGCACCATATTTTATGTACTGTGAAGAAAAATAAAATGGCCAATAAAACTATTTCTTATTGCATCAATTGTAAGACACACTGTGATTTTAGAGGAGTTAAAACATAAATAAGTAGGATGTCTTAGAGGAGAAGTATAGTGTTTATCTCTTGTAAAAGATATAAACTAAAACTTTTATTTATCTGATTAGCAAGGCTCTTTTCACAGAAATCTTAGGCTATTATTGCATTTTACCAGAATATGATTCCTCCTATTAAACTATTATTAATAATAAAGAGTTTGCGAAGAAAAAAACCTAAGTAAGAAAGGATTAGCAATTGCAACTGTGGCAACCAGTGACTGGTGCCTACCTCAGTGACAGAGCAAGCTGTCATGTCCTGTTCCAGTGGATCTAGCAATGGTGGCCTCAATTGAGGTTTTAGGAATAATTTTGACTGTAATCCTGACTGTTGCTTGAAATTCCTTGTTTCTCCCAGTTTTCTATGCTGTGTTCTTCAGTTCTTCCAAGAGTTCTGTGAACTTCTTAACATCCTTTCAATAAGTTCCTTGTCTGCCCAACTCAACCAGAATCAGTGTTTTTTGCCGCATGCTTTAACTGATACCTCTGGATTTCTGCAATTTGTTGAAGAGGGATAACTGACATAGTTTGAGGCAAATCAGTGATTCGGCCCTTCTAAAGACAGTTACCAATCTCTTCCACTTCTCCAAATGATATCCTCTAAATATATATATATATATATATATATATATATATATATATACACACACACACATATATATAGCCATATTCAACAATAACAAAATACTTGAACCATACAGTATAAAAAGCTCACATATACCCATTTTTAAAAGCACAATTTATAAAATTATAGAAGAAATATGTTGCCTACTTTACAAAGAAATTAAAACAAAATTTAATTTGCTTAGAGCTACTAGGATTCAGTGAAGAACCTAGAAATGGAAGGAATTCCACAGTCGTCATATTATATACAAGGTAGAAGAGTAGTAACTGATTTCAGTTAATAATGGGGAATGCCAAATTCATTAATTGTACTACCTCAGAAGGATAAGGCACAAATTAACTAATTGGGTAGGCTGATTTCTTTGTACTTGTTTGCAAAGTCTCTCTACCCCATTTCATAATTTCTACCTACCTCACCAAAGCAATATCAGCATATCCTTATTTCTTCACAGTCCTCTGGGGTGTTGCAGTTTAGCGAATTTAGAAGTCAAATATTGTTCTCCTCAAGAAATGTAGCTTTCAATAATATGAATGATAGTAATAAGTAACACTTGTGTGGTGCTTCACGATGGCCAGACACTATTCTAAGTATTTTACATATATTAACCAGTTTAGTCTTCATAAGAATCCTAGGAAGAAAATATTACCTTATCCTAATTTTGCACAAGGACACTGAAGCTAATTGCCTAAGGCCAGTAGGTGGCAGAGCTGGGATTTGAACTCAGGCTAGCTTCAGAATTTATGTGCCTGTTATAACAAACTAACCCCCACCCCCAGCTTTAGAAGTTGCTTGTTTCTGCTGCTATATATTTGTACTACATCATGGACCAGGCAGATTTTGAAGTATAAAACTTAATATAAGTTTTATACTTATACTAAGTATAAAAACTTAGCTTTCCTTTCTAACCCTTTACATCTAAGCCTCAGGTTTTCTTCCTTGTAAAACAGGAGTAATATTTGTTATGCCTAGCTTGTAGATTGTTGAGTAGAAGAAATGAAATAATGCATGCGAAAGTGCTTTGTAAAGTGTTATGTAAAGAATTATTACTTAAATTATGAAGGAACATGTCATTTAGGATATAGCTTCAGCTGTGTTTGATGAAAATGTTGCTGAAAGCAAATTAGGTCACAGCTAGATTCAAGCTATGATTCAAGCTAGGTTCAAGCTATGACTCAAACCCAGGGTTCTTGGTATAGAAACTCCATACTTCTAACTACACCATAGCACTCTCTCCTCTGATACTCTCTCACTACAATACTTGATAGTACACCATTATTTTCCCGTGCAATTCCATTAAAAATAAAAATGTAAATATAAGTTGTTTTTCAAGATTTTCCCATAAAATGTTTCTCTGGTGGCCTAAATCAGAAATTCCTACCTCTAACTTATAAACAAAGCTGACAGAGGGCAACAGAGAAAGATAGGTCAAGCGACAAAAGCTGTTACTTGGGTATCTAAGCAACTGGAAACGCTTGGCTGAGGAAGATTTCTTCCGCCCCTGGCAAGCTGGGGACATTCCAGCAGGGCACCTTTGAGCCTCTGATGTGAAAAGCAGCTCAGATTCACATTCCCACCCCAGAGGGGCATGTTTATCAGTCTGGGAACATTCTGAGGGTATTCAGGGAAGAGTGGTAACAAACTGCTTCATCTACTCTCACTACTTCAGGCAACGTCTCTGCATCTTATGCTCTTATTACTTCCAGCAAAAGAGAAGGTAAACAGTAATCTAAAATAAAAACCATATAAGCAATAACGTTAGCACTCTCTCTCATCTCTCTAGCAAATTCCTCATTAGGAGTTAGAAGGTGAAAAAAAATTTTTTTTAAAATTTTTTTTTTAATTTTTTTGAGATAGGGTCTCACTCTGTCACCCAGGCTAGAGTGCAGTAGAGTGAACAGGGGTCACAGAGGCCTCGAACTCCCAGGCCCAAGCAATCCACCCGCCTCAGCTTTCCAAGTAGCTGGGACTACAGGCACACGCCACCATGCCCAGCTAATTTTTAAATTTTTGTGTAGAGATGGGGTCTCCATATGTTGCCCAGGCTGGTCTTGAACTTCTGGGCTCAAGAGACATTCATGCATCAGCCTCCTAAAGTGCTGGAATTACAGATGTGAGCCACCACGCCCGGCTGGAAAATCTTAAAATCAATCCAAGAAGTGCTGGCTGGGTTGTACTACGTGATTAGGCCCATGCATATGCTTAGGGTTTCCATGAAGCCCTTCAGCAGGATAAATACAAGAAAAATTAACAGGTAAAGCCTTAGAAACCATTACACGCCAGATTTTGTGTTACCAAACACAAATACAATAAATTTAGAGAACATAAGTTCCCTGAATGAAAACGAAAGATAAAAATAAAAAAGAAAGAAAAAGGAAAAATTAGAAAAAAGACATAGAAAAAGTCTGAGAACACAGAGTTCCGTAAGCCAGTTGTGGTTGAGTATATTGTACAGTATCTTAAGTAAAATAAAGTCATTACTACAACCACTTTTAATAAGTATTAAAATCAACTTCTCTCTGATATAAAGTGAAAATGAAGAAAAGTGTCTATGTAAGTCTAAAATAGACTTTAAATGAAGAAACCATAAATACTATACATTCATGGGTTGCATAACAATGTTTCAGTCAACAATGGACCACATATACCACTGTAGCCTATAAGATTATAATACCATATTTTTATAGTACCTTTTCTATGTTTAGATACACAAATACTTACCATTGTGTTACAGTTGTCTAAGTAATAGGCTATACCATGTAGCCTGGGTGTGCAGTAGGCTATGCCATCTAGGTTTAGTATACCCTGTGATGTTGCCCAATGATGCATTTCTAAGAATGTATCCCCACTGTTAAACAACATATGACTGTATAAATTTCCCTTGTTGTGCTATACCTTTGCCATCCCATCATTTCTTCATTCACCTCTTCAGCAAACATTGTTACCTATAGAAGGGTGGTTTTTGGCACTGTGGAAAGAGCTAGACCTGTAAAGATGAATAAGCCAGTTTCTGCTGTCTGGACTCAGTCTATTCACTCAACTAGTGGTAATAGCTATAATGAAGAAGATTGAAAGAAATTGCTCTCTTAGCTAAAACACAAGAAGGAGCAGAGCTTAAGGAAGGTGAGGTAAGTAGAACCTCACATTCTATTTTGGCAGTCTTTGCATTGGTCCCACTTTTCCTGGGTTGGGGAATACTGTTTCTTCTATCACGCACTACTGTCCTCTGTTGTTCCCCTCTGTCACTCCTCTCACTCTCTTTTTTCCTCCTGCAGCAAAGGGAAAAAGTCAAAGAGGCCATGAGAGGACTAGGCAAAGGGGAAACAGGAAGTTGTTCAGGTACCTTGTGTAGTAGGTCTCCTTTTCTTGGACCATGGGGGAAAGCAAAGGCTGGATTCTGATCGTCTAAGAGCTAAAAGGGACCACAGAGGCCATCCTTACTATCCGTTTACAGCTGAGGACACTGAGGGTTAATAACTTACCAAGGCCATGCAATTAGTGGCATTGGCAGCACTAGAACTCAGGCTTCTTGACTTCCAGAGAGTTAGAATGGAGCACTTCTAATCCTTTATGCAGGGTAGGGTAGTAGCCAGAGATGGAAACCCTACTACTGGCTTCAGCCATTATTCTGATTATCTTCTTCACTATCAAGCACTCCTTCATTTCCGATCCTCCAAACAATTGGACAATTTATTAATGTAGTCACCCCATAGTTCTCTGTTCAGTAGGGACTTATTTTCAAATCTTCTCTGTCATTTCAGTTATCCACCCCATAAGGAACAAATTATGGTTTCTCGACATCCTTTTGAAAACGTGCAACCCAAACTAACCGCACAGCTTCAAAGATCTGTTTGGTGAGGTAAAATGATGTCTTTGTGTTCTGCTTTTCAATGCATCCTAATTTGACTTTTGGTTTTGCTCATTTGTTAGTAAATTTTCAACACTTTACTTACTTTTACCGTGTCAGTAAAGACCTTGAGGAATTTACATAGTTGATCTATTTCTATAAGGGTGCTCTCCTGAACCTTGTCCTGTGTGAAGGCCCGCCTTTTTTCTTTTTTCTCTTTGTTTCTCTCTTTTTTTCATTTGTTAGCTTGTCAGTAATGACCGGGTGGCGGATACATGTCAAGAAAACTAATCACCTTCTAACAGGATTAAGACTAGAATTAATGCAGATCTTGTGCCCTTCCTGTTCCCGCTTTGGCAGCCCAAGGTCCACCACTGCTCAGAGACTAGCTGGAGGGCAACGGCGTCCCATAGCATCTCACACTGTGTTGGGATCCTAGGTGGTGACCTTTGTGAGATTCAGTACTGAGTTTCTGGGAGACGGCGCTGCGGTTGTGATCGGAATTGTTGGCCGACGCACCTCTGGACGCCCAGTGAGGCAAAAGCATCTCCTGTTTTCAAGGTGATGACACTGGGCTGGAATGCCGCGGGGCCAACCAGTCCGTCCTGCCAGACAAGTTTCTGGTCCAGTGAGCCTCCGACCCGCCGCGCGTGTCAAGCTGACAAGGCCGGGGAGGCGTTTGAAGCAGCAGTGTTGAGCGCTGTTAACATTTAGCGGGCGTCTTTGAGTAGCTCCTCCAGCCCTCGCAGCGGCCCAGGGACTAGCCTGCAAGTTCTCAACGCTCACTTCCAGCCCGCGCTGGCCCCGCCTCCGCCTCCCAGCTCCTCAGCCTCCTCCCGCCCCACCGCTCCCACCTTTTCTCAGGCCCCCACCTGCCAGCACGCAGAGGCGGGGGCGGGGTCGCGGGCCGGGCTCCTGACGTCACCTCACGGGGAGGCGGGGCTGTGGGAACCGCAGTGCAGCGCAGAGGGGCGGGGCCTGCGGCGCGAGACCTGGTGCGGGAGGCCCGGGCAGGGAGAAGTGTGCGGGGCCGGGACAAGCCGGCTCCGAGTCCGGCTCCGGGGGGCGGGGCGGGAGGGGCCTGCGCGGCGGCGGGAGCCCAGAGCCGCGCTAAAGCGGGTCAAGCGTCCTCCTTTTCTCCCCGCCCCTTCTCCTCCTCCTACCTGGGCCTCTGCGTGGAGACGCGCACCTGGCAACCGGAGGCCGCGTCTCCGCCTTCTCTGCTCGCGCCTGGCGCCCGGAGCCTGCCCGGGACCTCCGCCGGAGCCGCGCTCGCTGCAGGCGGCCTCGAGCGCTCTCTCGTTGATGCCGTTTTGGAGGTGACCGGCGCGGCGGCCGCTCTATGGTGGGGCCGCGTTAGTGGCTGCGGCTCCGCGGGACTCCAGGGCGCGGCTGCGAGGTGGCGGGGCGCCCCGCCTGCAGAACCCTGCTTGCAGCTCAGGTTTCGGGGTGCTTGAGGAGGCCGCCACGGCAGCGCGGGAGCGGAAGATGTTGGAGCTGAGGCACCGGGGAAGCTGCCCCGGCCCCAGGGAAGCGGTGTCGCCGCCACACCGCGAGGGAGAGGCGGCCGGCGGCGACCACGAAACCGAGAGCACCAGCGACAAAGTAAGTGGAGCCGAGAGAGGCGGACGCCGCGCCCTGGCTGGGTCCTGGTTGGAAGCGGGACACTTGAGAGCAAGGGTGGGGCCCGTCCAGCGTCAGGTGAGGCTGCACGCTGCCGGTGCACCTTCCTCCCTGCCTGGCACTGCTTCCTCCTTCTCCAGAGGGGGTCGGGACCCGGGATCCCAGTGGCGGTGAGGTTCCCAGGATGACCGCGGCCGCTGCCCGGGAGAAATGGGCCACTCAACCCGGCTTACAGTTTAGCTTCATCCTCTTCCGGTCCCTTCTTCAGGATCTGGGGCCGACGCTGGAATCAGGAGGGAACCTGTCCTCCTAGGGGCTGCAGTGCAGTTAGTAGCTGCCACCTCACCTCTCTTTTCAGTAGAGGGAACAAAGTTAGTAAGGACTAGAGACGTGCCACCGTCGGCTGTATCATTTCATCGGATCCTGACGCGGGAGGCTTGGCTTCTCGCGCTGCCCCATATGCACTTACATTTTCTCCATCCTTTTTCAGTATGATAGATTTTGGAGGTTTTAGAGTATCATGCACGTGACATAATAGTAATCTTCCAGCTTCTTTTGAGTACACGACAGACAGTGCAATTCTTCTGTCTACCAGTAGATTTCATATAACCCGACGTTAATTCATGAAGACTTTTCACTTCCTTTTCTATAGATTACTCTTCTTTCACATTTAAGAATAAGTAGATGCGATATTACTATCTGTTTAAAGCTAGAAAAGGAATTCGGGCGTGTTTGGTAATATAGTGGTGCAAGTAAGAACTTGTGAAGAAATGCAGTTTTATGATCTTATGGACTGGATGGTTTGGGAAATTGGACCAGAGAATAGATTGTTGTATCAAACCGTCTGTTTAGAAAATTCCATTTTATTTGAGAAACCCAAAACACGTAAACTGTTTCTAGAAGCATACTTTGGAAGCAGGCATTGCAGTTTGAATTACAGAAGTGAGGTGGATTGCCCAAGGTCAAGTTCGTGGCTCTTGAAACTAGAATCTAAGTTTCCTGATTCCTTTTCTTCTGGTTTATGTGGTTGCTGAGACTGGCTGGCAGTTCTGATTTGGGGAGGATTCCACCTGAAAGTTGATGTTGATGAGTTTGATGTAACCCAAATTACAAAGCCCTAATAGGAACATATCACATGATATCACGAAATAAACGTAAACGTGATTCTTAGTACTAAAACTTTAGAATCAATGGAATCAATGTAGTGACACTTTTCCCCTTACCCTTGATAGTAAGTAGAATAAAATGAGTCTGTAATAAAACATAAGTGTCAAGGAATTACCCAAAATATAACAATTTCCAGCTACTGAAGGTTGAAGTTACAAAACTAGGAACAGTGGGCTGAGAATAGTCTTTGTGAAAACTGCCTTGGAAACTAGACCCAAAATAGAATTAATTAGGTTGGGATTTGTTTTGTTTTGTTTTTAGCACTGGTATAGTTTAGCATCAAGGAAATACCAGCTTCTCTATGCTGACTTCCTTAACTCGACAAAGCTAACAAGCTTTTGTTAAGAGAAAAGATGTTCAGGAAGCCATGCATAAAATACCTTCGGAATTAAGTTTTTTCTTTTTTTAACACCATAATGTATTTAAAATGGAAACTACTTCTGTAGTGTGATTTGACTCATTAGAACTGTTGTCTCTAGCTATCTGTGACTAGGTTACCTCGCTGCATATTTATTTATTTATCAATGCAGTACTGTTGGTTTTTATTGACACATGTCCAGCTGGATTTTGTTTTCTGAAAGTAGACTTTGCTATATGTAACCTGTTTTGTCAAGATTTCTTAGACAAGGATGAACATATTCAAACCATATCTAAAATACTGCTCTACTTTTAGAGTTTATCATGAGGAACTTTTGACTTGGCAAGCTGATAGATATTGAACTCTATCCCTGTCTGTCCTTTCTTATCAGGGTGTGTATTTGAATACACCTGTATTTCCAGGTCAAGGGCTATTTTAAAATCAGTTTGCACACTGGAGGCTGGTTAATATTTGGTCAATTCAAACTCATTAAGGGCCTTCCCTGTTCAGTTGCAGTAAAGGCAAAACTCTTGGGGAATTAGTGAAAGAAGTGAAGGAGGTACATTATATTCTGCTATTATAATACACTCCCATGCATTGCCATTTTGTAGTCTTTTAATAATGGTGTTATTAACATGACACTCCCTTTGTTCCGGACTGGTGACTTATGCTGAGAGAAGGCTCTGTACTCCAGATAATTAGCAAGTGAAAAAAATACTTCTTACCTGCAGAGGAATGTTCCCAAGTGTTAAATGTTGGAGTGGTACTTGAAAAATGACAAGGGACATCTTCAAGGAACCCTGCAGGAGACATATATGAGTTAGATTTATTGGAAGTCTGTACAAGGCTCATTGTTAGCATAGAGGGCATGCTTGGCGTCTACCTGGAGACTGTAGGAAAAGCTCTAAACAGTGGATGAGGATTGAGCTGGGAATGAAAAGATTCCTGGGACTCACCAGGTTTACAAGGGTTTGGGTAGGGTGTTCTAGGCAAAGGACGTGTTGGGTTTTTTCTTGAATCAGCATTCTAGGCACAGGGTTGCAGATACAGAGGAAGAGATAATGAAGGTCCTGAGAGCAAAAGGAGGAGGCATTGCTTAGAGCAGTGGTCCCCAAATTTTTTGGCACCAGGGATCAGTTTTGTGGAAGACACTTTTTTCCACGGATGGGTTGGGGGGATGGTTTCAGGATGATTCAGGTACATTACATTTATTGTGCACTTTATTTCTATTATTATTACATTGTAATATATAATGAAATAATTATACAACTCACCATAATATAAAATCCATGGGAGCCCTGAGCTTGTTATCCTGCAACTATACAGTCCCACCTGGGGGTGATGGGAGACAGTGACAGATCATCAGGCCTTAGATTCTCATAAGGAACATGCAGCCTAGATCCCTCGCATGTGCAGTTCACAACAGGGTTCAAGCTCCTGTGAGGATCTAATGCTGCTGTTGATCTGACAGGAGGCAGCGCTCGGTGGTAATGCGAGTGATGGGGTGTGGCTGTAAATACAGAGGAAGCTTCACTCGCAGACCACTCACCTGCTCTGCAGCCGGGTTCCCAACAGGCCCAGTTCCTAACAGGCCGGTACTGGTCTGTGGCCTGGGGGTTGGGGACCCCTGGCTTAGAGGACATCATCAGTAGTACTTAGGAATAAGGGCTGAGATAGAACGTGGAGTTTAGCAAAAGATCTAAGTAGAAGCAAGTTTAGGTTGAGGAAATTGAGAGGTGAAATGTTGGTAGTTATTGTTATAAAGTGGCAGTGAAAGGAATACAGGATGGCAACTAGAGAGACAGGAGGATTAATGAAGATTTTTCTTTTCAGAGGAGGGGAGATATATATTTGTATGAAAGTCAAATGAGTAAAGATGTTGAAGACAATGGGTAGGCCCTAGGAAAAAGAAAGCAAACATGGGGTAGAGACTATGGATTATTGGGATATCCAAGGAAAGAAAAGAGGGATGCATGTCTTTTCCTTAAGAAAAGAAAGACGGAATGAAGAGTGGATACAGGAACATTTTGAAAAGCAGAAAGGAGAAGATCAAATGTTGGATGCCTTCAGTTAGTAAAGTAGGAACTCAGAACCAATGAGCTTCAAGGGATCTTAGAAACAACTTGGTTTAACTCAATTCATATATATTTGTATTTGTATATATTTATATATAATTTGGTATATATACAATTAAATTTTAAACAATAAATTTGTATTCAGTTGAATCTTCACTGAGTTTAATAATTCTGTATAGTTTTATAATAGTTACCTTTTGGTCATTTCCTATCACACTTCCCAAAAATGACAGTTCAGATGTGTTCCAGTCACGTTCAGTGTTGTGTGACTGTGTGTTAGGAATATCCCCATTTAATAGCTGAGAATAAGAAAAGCAATGGGAGTGATTTAGGCCTGGGGAGTGCCAGAGGTCCAGGATGTAGGGAATTAGAGAGTCAGTGAAGCCAAGATTGAAGTGGATGACCACAGATTCAGGTCGGCAGGGAAGTGGGCTGGTGAAGATCTAATGGGTTGAGTGGGAATGAGTATTGAAACAGAAAGAGCTAAGACATGACTTATGTAGAGACCAAGGGAGAACTTCCCCTCTGCCCTCTGAAGACTTGCCAGAAAAAACTGACAACAGGTAGATTAATCGGAGAAATGGCATACAAGTTTATTAACGTGTGGGGTGGGAGGAGGGAGACAGAGTGATTACCTGAACCCCAAGAGGCTCAGAAGCTTATATACCATCTTGAGGCAAAGGTGGTCCTGTCATGTAGATGAAACCTCATAGGGAGGAGCCCTCAGAGAGAATAGATGGTGAATATTTCTTTCAGACCTTTAAAAGTGTCAGACTCTCAGTTAGTCTTTCCTAGATCCAGACAAGAGAGAACCTTCAGAGAAGGCCAGGTTGCATCAATGCAGATTTTCTCTACAGACACAAATCTACCTCACAAAAGACAGCTTTGCAGGGCTGTTTGTTTGCAGGCCCTCTGAACAGCCATCTCAAAATATGTCAAAGAAGTATAATTTGGGGTGAAATATTCTGATTTCCTTCACTTGCTAGACCCTGAAGTGGGAGAAAAGAGGGTGCACATTGAGGCTGTGGCCAGTCAAGGGGAGCACACGTGGAATAGTGTGCTTTCAGGTAAGATCCCTGTGTGTTTGTGCATGGGGCTGCTACTTAGGGATTTTGGTTTGTGAAGTTGAGGAGAAAACAATCCAGAGATCAGTTAACGTCTCTCCTCCATTTGAGATGTGTGCAGCTTCTTTCATAAATACATTATTATTTTCAAATAAACTTTTAATTTTGGAACAACTTTGATTTATGTAACCACCCCACAGGTTCTTCTTTCTTGCTGCCCAGATAGAACTGGTTTATCAACACGGGAGAATTGCAATAGAGAAAAAGAGTTTAATGCACACAGAGCCGGCTAAACAGGCGGCCAGGGTTTTATTATTACTCACATTAACCTCCCTAAAAATTTGGAGGCTAGACTTTTTAAAAGATAGTTTGGTGTGCAGGGGGTTAGAGAATGGGTGCTGCTGATTGGTTGGGGAGGCAATTGCAGGGGTATGGAAAATGGTCCTTGTATGCTGAGTCCATTTCTGGATGGGGGGGCCACAGGAGTTGCTGGTTTGGGAGGAGTTATCCAGTCATCAGAAATATAAAAATCTGAAAGTGGTCTATCTTTTAAAAGGCCAATCTTAGCTTCTTTAATAGTGATATTATGTGTAGAAGTAATTGGAGAAGTTGCAAATCTTGTGATCTCCAGACCAGTGGCTGGTAATTGTTTACATGTAATCACAACAAAATTCAGTCCCCTCTCATAATCCTAAACTTGTGACCTTTTATTAGTTTTATAAAGGCAGTTTAGTTTAGGGAAGAGCTGTTATCATTTAACCTGTAAACTAAATTCTTCCAAAGTTAGCTTGGTTCTCACTTGGGAATGACCATGGGCAGCTTGAAGGTTAAAGGCAAGATAGAGTTGGTTAGGTCAGATTTTTTTTCACTGTTATGATTTTCTCACTGTTACAGTTTTTGTAAAGGTGGTTGGTTTTATTTACAGAAGCATTACAAAGATTTCTATGTACTTTTCACCGACTTTCCCGTAAGGTTTGTATCTTGCATAACCGTGGTACATCGGTCAAAACTTAAGAAATTAACATAGCTATAATATCATTTTAGACTGTAGATACTATTCAGAAATTCACTGGTTGTTCCACTATCCATTTACTGCCCTGGGATACAATCCGAGATTCAACACTGCATTTAGTCTAGTTTATTTTGTTATTGTAAAAGCCTTATTGTGTTTTTGTAAATTACTTCTTCATTTTGGTACACTTCACTACAGGTTGTGCTGATGTCACCTGTAAGTGTAATGAACATTTTCTATAGTTTTTCATCTAGATCTAGGCCATTAATAAAATACTAATGTTTAGATCTAGATTTCTGGACTACCATTTGGGCTGATACTCCCTAATTGTTGATAAATTATCAGTCAGTATTACCACCTAAATAATTTTCCATGATTCAGCTTTTATCATGCACAGCATATTCATTTCATTTAATAACATTTTTTTAAAATGCTGGCTTCCAAAATATCGGCAACCCAGCCAGGTGGTAAGACAGAGCTGGGTTTTTAGCTTACTGCAGTGAGGAACACTTCCACAGAGCCTTGGTAGTATTTCAGAGGGGGAGAGGCAAGTTGTAACGTATTTGAGAATTGGAAGTTTGGTTTAAGGCAGGTCTTTTTTGTTTTGTTTTGTTTTGAGACGGAGTCTCACTCTGTTGCCCAGGCTGGAGTGCAGTGGCGCGACCTCGGCTCACTGCAAGCTCTGCCTCCCGGGTTCACGCCATTCTTCTGCCTCAGCCTCCGACGTAGCTGGGACTACAGGCACCCGCCACCACGCCTGGCTAATTTTTTTGTATTTTTAGTAGAGACGGGGTTTCACAGTGTTAGCCAGGACGATCTCAATCTCCTGACCTTGTGATCTGCCCGCCTTGGCCTCCCAAAGTGCTGGGATTACAGGCATGAGCCACCTCACCCAGCCTAAGGCAGGTCTTTCAATGTGGGGAATTGATTAGGATTGGGTAAGGGTCACAATATAACAATTTGGGGTTAGTAGATAAGCCAGATAAGGATTTTGAGGCAAACATTTTCAAAGAGTCTTAGGACTAAACTGTTCATTGATGCTTCCTTTCAAAGAGTTGATGTGTCTTTTAGAAATTCTTGTAAACATCATGAACTCCTAGCAAGAGTTTCCAGGAATACTCAAGTTATACTAATAAAAGAGTGAATCTAAAGGCATGGTAATGTAATAGTAAGCTATGTGCGGGTTAGGAATGGTAGTTAACTTGAGATTTCTAAAGAATATCTGAGGGTTACCATGTGAATTTTCACTTAGTGTTTATGATCTTTAAACAGTTCATTTTCTTATTATTTTGAGAGATACTACCATAGAATGTCATCAACTACATCAAGCTTTGGATGTGTACCACAGTGGGTTTTTTTGATGCTGTCATCCTAAGGAAGAAGCTGAGGCATAACATAGAATTTAAGGACAATACTTGAGCCAAATTTAAAGACTTTACTTGAGCCAAAGTGAGTACACTGCCTGGGACATACTTCCAAGTTGCCTGGGGGTGTGCCTTGGTTGGCCTTTGTTATAAGCAAGTTTTTAAAGGCAAAAAGGAACAGGGAATGGGCTGGTACAAAGTTGTTTGACAGGAATTCTCATTGCCTTACAGAGATAATATTGATGAATGATTGGCTATTCAGTTTTAAAATGTAAGGTATGAGGTACAATGTCTAGTATATGGTATTTTATGGCTACATGGTATCAGTCCAGAGCCAACATAGCAAGTGGCTCGAAGAGGTAATTGTTTAGCTCAAACGGTGAGAGACATGACTGCTGACACATTTTAAATGCCTCTCGGGGCCTGATAATTTAATGAGACTCATATTCTTCAAAATAAAAGTTTCTTTTCCTTTTTAACACAAACAATATTTTGTTTGTCAAAATATACTGGGGAAAAGTGGGACAATTTAATGTCCTCTGGAAAAGTATGAAGAAAAATTAAGATATAT
This sequence comes from Homo sapiens, assembly GCF_000001405.40. NCBI lineage: Eukaryota > Metazoa > Chordata > Mammalia > Primates > Hominidae > Homo > Homo sapiens. The sequence goes on from NC_000004.12 coordinate 84,591,148, forward strand.
ACACATGTAGTATGAGTATTCTTTATGTGTTTATGAATTTCATTTTTGTAAAATAGACTCTCACATTTCTTCCCAGATAACACAGATAAATACAGGGGTTTGGCATGTTTGTTTTCCTTTAACCATTTTATATTTGGGGATGTCTTTTCCAAAAATACAGATTTTATTTCAGTGTAAAGAACATAGGTCATTTAAGAAATTATAAACATATTTCTTGAGGCTTGGTTTGGTTCTGTGCATTCAGTAAATGCTTGTTGAGTGCCTATTATAAGCAAGACACTGCTTGAATGTTACTTTTTGGTGGCTTTTTTATACTCTTTGAGAAAAGAGGTGGTGTCAGGATTTGTTTGTTGCTCAACAACTGATTGTAGAATATATTAATCTCTTGAATTATGGACTTTCCCTGCATGGAATAATGATATAAACTAATTTTTTAGTGCAAAATAATTTATAATTTGCAAAATACTTGCTTATACTTAATATCAATTTTAGTCTTTTAACAATTATATAGGCAAGGGAGATAGGTTTAGTTTACATATGAGAAAATTGGAATTTGACAGCCTAAATGCCCTGCTCAGAATCATGGTATTTAGAGCCAGGATTTACCTTAAATTTTCTAATTAAAAAATGTAAAGGAGAAATCAGATGTGTGGTCCTAAATGTATAAAATCAATTTAAAACATTAAGAAAATTTTTACTGTTACTACCTTGTGTGACTTTGGACTAATTTGGTCTTTTTGAATCTATGAAATGTTGGCAGCGGATTAGAAATTTTTAGCTGAAAGCCTGTCATTGGGTGATTTCAGGCGCCTAGATTTAAAACAGCACTTCAAGTGTTTCATCGCTTACTTATGATCAATTTCAAGAAATCATTAGCCTTTATTTCATTTTATAGCTGTTTATACTTTATTTGGTTGAGAAATGTTTCAGAACTTATTTAATGAGAATGACATCACATTTTGAAACAACTCTAGAAATGGAGAGGAAGTAATTTCATTAATGACCAATTTTTTTTTTTTTTTTTTTTTTTTTTTGAGGCAGAGTCTCACTCTGTCACCCAGGCTGGAGTGCAGTGGCACGATCTTGGGTCACTACAAGCTTCGCCTCCCCCGCTCCCCGTTTCAAGCAACTCTCCCACCTCAGCCTCCCAAGTAGCTGGGATTACAGGCACGCAGCACAAAAGCCTAGCTAATTTTTGTATTTTTAGTAGAGATGGGGTTTCACCATGTTGGCCGGGCTGGTCTTGAACTCCTGACCTCAAGTAATCCACCTGTCTTGGCCTCCCAAAGTGCTGGGATTATGGGCGTGAGCCACTGTGCCCAGCCAACCAATTGGTTTTTGATCATCCCTGAGATACACCAAGTTTATTATGTAAGTATTTACTTATTTTCTTATCCTCAAAATGAGGTGAAAGATATTTTTCAGGTCATGTCATTGAATGTTTGTTTGCTTAAGACTTTCTCAGAACTGTCAAGATTTTAAACTTTTAAAATATGAAATTGAAAGGCACAGGATGGGAGAAAAAAGAGTCCAGTCCAGAGTGGACTCTTATCTATGGAAATTTATAGCTGCTTTTTGCAAACAACGCAGCTAAGAAAGCAGTGTTGCTTTTCTGCTTCCTGGCTATGGTTGTAGTTCCCTTTATTTGCCGGAACCCATGGCCAACTATTTAAGAGCTTTCTGCAAGGCTGATGTAGCCAATCTGACTTCATCACCTGGGTGACCCAGGTGGGATCAGACATCTTGACAGTTAAGTTGTGGCTCACTGCTACCTTCCAGTCCCAAGCAGGTCATTTCACAAACAATATGGGGCTGTCTGTGGGTCAATGAATATTTATTAAGCCCATCTGGAAGTTCACATTTTATCTCAATATATAAAAATCCAGATTCAGGAAACCAAATTAGACTCGTCTTTCAAGGTTGTGCTTTTTATTTTTTCATCTACTTACTATGCTTGTACTTGAACCGTCTCAGAGTTGAGGCTTCGAACAATTCTATGGGACACTATTCATGTAGAGTTCAATGTAGATAGTGCCCCCTGGAATTCTGCTTGTAGTAGTCCCATTTATAATAATGTATACTGCTTTTAATAAATATGAGGTTGGTACAAAAAGGTATACAAAGTATACAAGAAGATAAGGATACTAGCTAGCGATCTGGGTGACTTATCCCCTCAGAGGTATTCCTTCTTTGTCTTGATAGGTTTACAACATATGTTTGCATCCTCTGTCGCCTTTAATAATGAATTTCAAATGTATGATTATTTGAGCTCAAAGCTTGAGGATGGCCACTCTGGAGCTTAGATTCAAGTTGCCCTGAGTATACACTCTGATCAGCAGCAGTTACAAGGTTTTTTTTGTTTTTTTTTTCTCGTTTAGATAGAGTCTTGCTCTGTCACCCAAGCTGGAGTGCAGTGGCACAATCTTGGCTCACTGCAACCTCTGTCTCCCAGATTCAAGCGATTCTCCTGCCTCAGCCTCCTGAGTAGCTGGTATTACAGGCGCTCTCCACTACGCCTGACTAATTTTTGTATTTTCGTAGAGACGGGGTTTCACCATGTTGGCCAAGCTGGTCTCGAACTCCTGACCTCAAGTGATCCACCCACCTCGGCCTCCCAAAGTGCTGGGATTACAGGCATGAGCCACCGTGCTGGCCTACAAGTGGGTTTTTAAGGAAAAAAGAAAAGGCAGATCCTAAATTGTTTAACAAGAATTTAGATTAAAATAAACTATTGATTGGCTACACATTGTTCTTTGCATCATAAATTCCAGGAAGATAAGGGGTGAGGCAGCGAGTCTGAAACAAAATGCCTTTAAGTAATTGCTCCCAGGCACGGGTGTGGGGGTGTGACTGAAGTCCCATACTCTGGGGCCTGATAAATTTTACATACCTCACATAGCTGGGTCAGCTCAGAGCTATTTTTCTTTTTTCACCTCAATCAATATATTATTTAGTGTAGGGGAGTGAAAACCCTTCTAGGTTTCTTGGCTGGGCTGCAAATTAAATTGACATAAGACAAGAGAAAAACCATTTTTCTCTTGTTTAATTACATATGTGCAAAACAAAACAGGAAAGAAGGGTCAGATTTTTGAAGTTTATATAGCACCCTGAGATACTGAACGGAACCTATTCAGCTTCTAAGGGGTGCTGGCCACGCAAGTTCTGGGAGGGTAAGGGGAGGAAATGCATGGTGAATAAAGGCTGTCTTGTTATGCGGATAGTCTCTCAGGTAATGAAAGTTGTCTCAGAGCAGCTGTCTTCCTTATACAAATACTTTACTAATGTAGATTTCCTTTATAGATATACATTTTTTTTTTACAAAATAACTGCATTTCAGAGCTACTAATGTGTCTGCAGTTTCTCAGAATTATAATCTTGAAATATACCAAAGAAGTATATTTTGGGGTGGCATATTCTAGTTCTCTATAGTCATATTTTAGGGTAATATGTCCTGAGTCTCAATATTAGTTTTAAAGTTTTCCCTACTTTTTTATTGTAACTTTTTAATAATATCAAAATGTTAAAAGGTTAGTACAATGATCATCAGCATACCTAGGACTTAACTGTTATTAAGAGATTGCTAAATTTGCTTTATCTTGCCATATATACACAGTTGGCTCTCCATATCTATGGGTCATTGCTCACTGCAGGCTCAACTTCCCAAGCTCAAGTGATCCTCCCACCTCAGCCTCCCGAGTTCCTGGGACCACAGGCATGCACCACCATGCCCAGCTAATTTTTACATTTTTTTTGTAGAGATGGGGTCTCCCTATGTTGTCCAGGCTGGTCTCAAACTCCTTGGCTCAAGCAGTCCTTCTGCCTCGGGCTCCCAAAGTGCTCTCAAAGGTGAAGCACAGGATATGAAAACCCTCAAAGCACATCATCCAAGAGGTGGCCAAAATCAGTCTGGTGATGGTCAGTTTTTAGGAAAGGGGTGCATTGTGAAACTGGCAAGCTGTCATATCAAAGCTGCAAAGAGGGAGAGTCCAGTAGCAGCCTCAGATGACTGGCTAAAGGTGATAAAAGAAAGGGTACTCTGTTTCTTGTTTTCTGGAGCTGGTTTCTGCTTACTCCTTAGGAAAGAATTCTGGCTAAAGGTTAATAAGGAAGGGGCATACTGAGGCATGTCCAACCTCCTGTCCTATCGTGGCTGGAACTCAGTTTCCGAAGTTTCTCTGGTGTCCCTTTGGCCAAGAAGGGGTTTGTTCAGTCAGCTGGGGGGGCTTGGGCTTTTATTTTTATTTCTCAATTATTTATAATACCTCATACAATGTAAATTCTACATAAATAGTTGCATACTGTAGTTGTACAATATAGTATGCTGTATTGTTTAGAGAATAATGACAAGAAAAAAATCTATGTGTTTAGTACAGATGCAACCACCTTTTTTTCCCCTTTGAATATTTTTCATCTGAGGCTGGTTAAATTCACGAATATGGAACCCACAAATGTGAGGGGGCCAACCGTACTTGTTTCTCACTCTAAATGAAGGCAAGGCAGAAAAGCTGGAGGCATTATTTATCTTAGCCCTGAAAAAGTGATGTACCTGTGAGAACCAATCATTAATAAGATCTCAGGTAAAAAACAAGTTTGGGATGGCAGTAATAATTCAGATTTTGAGTGAAACTCCTTAATTTTCTCTGTTCTTTTGTGTAATTCCATGGAGTTTTTTTCTTCTAGTGATCTTTATTCTTAATTTGGAATTTAAGACTTACATAAATGAAACCATACAAAATAGTGTGATCTTAATGTATAATAGAATGAGATATCACTGGAGAAAGATCAGAAGGAGCCAAACATCTAGGAAAGTCTTAAAATGGGCCTTAAAATTAAGTAAGATTTGAATATTGTAGATAGCATCTTAGGAATGGCAAAAAACAGAGCAGCAATACTGTAGCCTGGAAGACTTGGCCCGATTCCATTTGGGGATAGAGAGATGACAGTCATAATTCTCTCAGCACATACTCACCAAGCTCCTGGTTGCAGGAATGGCCATGGTGGGTGAGACTGCTGGGTGAACAGGCAATCAAAACATGTCATACAAATGTTGGCATGCGAAGAGTTGCACAAAATGGGCTGAGGAGCTCCCCTAGCTTCTGATTGCTGCTAAAACAAATCACTAAAAACTTAGTGTCTTAAAATAATATAAACTTACCTTACAGTTCTGGAGCTCAGAAGTCCAAAATGGGTCTCCCTAGGCTAAAGTGAAGATGTCCCGGTAGGACCATGTTCCTTCTGCAGGCTGCAGGGGAAAATCTGTTTCCTTGCCTTTTCTAGCTTCTAGAGGCTAACAGCATGCCTTGGCTGGTGGCCTCTTACTCCTTGCTCAAAACCAGCATCACTATACCTCTGCTTCTGTCATCTCTTCTCTGACTCTGATCCTCCAGTCTTCCACTTATAAGGACCCTTGTGATTATATTAGACTCACCTGTATAATCCAGGATAAGCTCACCACGTCAAGATCAGTTGATTAGCAAACTTAATCCTGCCCACTTCCTTAATTCTCCCTTGAATTGTACCAACATCTTCACATGTTCTGGGATTAAGACGTGAATATCTTGGTGGGGGGAGTGGGGAGGGAACCATTATTTTGCCCTTGACAGGCTCCCTGAAGAAGAGTTTTCTAGAAATTACATCTAGGCTGATACCTTAAAGATAAATAGGCACCAGTCAGGCAAAGCCAGGCTCAAAGAGGAAGAGCGTAAGTTATAAATAGAAGAATACCGTAGCACAATATTGAGAGGCTAAGACTCTTCACACTGTGGGGAGCGCAGAAGCTTTAGTTCTGCAGAGCCTGGAGTGGCTGGGTGGGTGTGGCCAAAGCCCTGGCTGGAGAGTAAGAGGAGGCTGGGTTTATACCCTGTGATGAGGAGGTAGGTGGATGATGTAATCAGGTTTGCCTTTTACTCAGGCATTTTATGTTATGTTGAGACACATTTGGTTTTCTCTTATCCAAGCATTGGGATCCACCACAAAGTGTAACTCCTGATTGGATTAGTAAAGTGGTACACTGGACCAACCAGTCACCTCCTTCCTTCAGTGGGGAATAGAACAGGGCTGCGGAGAAAGATTTGGGGACGAGTCTTTCCCTTTGCAGTTCAAATTAAAAAAAAATAAGGAGGCTTTATCAATTATCATTAATTAGTGTAGGATAGGACCACAGAGCTGATGAATGAGGTAACCAGATTTCTGTCTATAAAATACAGTGTTGTGGGAGCAGTGGCTCACACCTGTAATCCCAGCACTTTGGGAGGCCAAGGTGGGAGGATTGCTTGAGTCCAGGAGTTTGAGACCAGCCTGGGCAACATAGGGAGACCCTGTCCCTACAAAAAATAACAAAAAATTAGCCAGGTGTGGTGGCCCCACCTGTAGTCCCAGCTGCTTGAGTGGCTGAGGTGGGAGGATCGCTTGAGCCTGGGACGGTGAGGCTGTAGTGAGTCATGATAGTGCACTGCACTCCAACCTGGGTGACCCTGCCTCAAAAGAAACAAAACAGTGTTACTAAGTCCCTTGACTATTCTCTATCATTGTAGAGGCCTTGAGCTTCCTCACTCTTCGTTCACCAAACTGCTGACTCACTAGGAATTAAATCAGTTTAGTCCTTCTCCCCAGCACAGATAGAAAGCAGTTCCTTCTCTTCACTTCCACTCCTGGGAGAAAGAGAAGGAATCCATGCCTGTATGAAAACCATGAAGAAGGCCGGGTGCGGTGGCTCATGCCTGTAATCCCAGCACTTTGGGAGGCCGAGGTGGGCAGATCACGAGGTCAGGAGATCGAGACCATCCTGGCTAAAACAGTGAAACCCCGTCTCTACTAAAAATACAAAAAATTAGCCGGGCGTGGTGGCGGGCGCCTGTAGTCCCAGCTACTCGGGAGGCTGAGGGGAGAGAATGGCGTGAACCCGGGAGGCAGAGATTGCAGTGAGCCGAGATCGTGCCACTGCACTCCAGCCTGGGTGACAGAGCGAGACTCCATCTCCAAAAAAAAAAAAAAAGAAAAAGAAAAAGAAAACCATGAAGAAACAGACAGAAAATGTTGAAATCAGGAGCACAGCCTCATGTTCTTTCAAGTAAAACTGTTTAGTTTCAAGATTTTTAAAAGGCTGCCTCCTTTCAGGTGTGGAGCTCTATGTCTCTGTGGGTTTCCTTTGGCTTAATTGCAAATCTTAATGCTGAACTGAGCTACAGGGATCAGTGTCCACATCAAGGGATTCTTGACGGAAGAGCTGACCCTGGTTTTCTAACTCACTTTTTTTCTTTTTCTTTTTTTTTTTTAATTTTATTATTATTATACTTTTAGGGTACATGTGCACAACGTGCAGGTTTGTTACATATGTATACTCACTTTTTAAGGGGCCAGTTGTAAAAGAGATGAAAAGTATGAGTGATTTAATATATTATCCTTTGTTGCATTTTTAACCACTGCTTTACCTTCATTTGTTTAGAGACTTCCTTTTGGAGCCATCATCTATTTTTAAAATTTTGATTCTTATTTTAATTAATTTATTTTCAGGTGGGATCTTGCTATGTTGCCCAGGGTGGTTTCTAACTTCGGGGCTCAAGAGGCCCTCCTACCTCAGCTTCCTGAATAGCTGGAAATAGCTGCTTGCCACTGCGCCCAGCTCTTTTTTACTTCAACTGACATAATAGTTGTATATGTTTATGGAGTACAGTGTCATATTTTGAAACCTGTGTACAGTGTGTAATGATGGAATCATCCTCTTGATGAACTATATCCTTTGTTCCCTGAGCCCCTTGTCCTTGTTCTTGTCCTTTTTGTCCTCAGTATTGGGAAGCACCTCAGTTCTCTTTCCTGGACTGCTCTTTAAGAGTCCCCATGAACTATAAATGATACTCACTAAATTGAGTACACTTAAAGTGCTATCTTAGCTCAAGATGTTATAATGAAAATACTGTAGCCTAAACAACAGGAATTGATTTCTTATAAATCTGGAGGCTGGACATTCAAGATAAACATGCTGGCCAATTTGGTTCCTGCTGGGAGCCCTTTGCAGACAGATAACTTGCTGTGTCCTCCCGTGGTGGAGAGATTATTTCTTGTGCCTCTTTATAAGGGCACCAAACCCATTTGTGAGTCTCCACCCTAATTACCTAATTGACTTCATTATCTTACAAAGGTTACCTCCAGATAACATTACATTGGAAAATTGCACTTCATTGTATAATTTGTTTTTTGGCAGGGACAGAAACATTCATTCCATAGCAAATATAATTTGGCAAATTTTGACACACACACACATATATATATATATATATATATATATATATATATATATATATATATGCCTATGAAGCCATCATTATAATCAAGATAATGAGCTAGTCTATCACCACTAAAAGTTTGCCCCTTTTTGTAGTTCTTCCCTCATCCTTAGACACGTACTAATCTGCTTTCTGGCACTATAGATGAGTTTGCATTTTCTGGAATTTTATATAAATGGAATAATATAATACGTGTGTGTGTATATATATATATATGTATTACATGTACATTTTGTCTGGCTTCTTTTACTCAGCATAATTATTTTGAGATTCATCCATGTATCAATTGTTCACTTATTTTTATCACAAGAGAATATTCCACTGTATGAAAGTAACATAATTTGTCCATTTCCCTGTTGGCTATTTGAGTTGTCCCTAGTTTGGAGCTATTGCGAGTAAAGCTACCATGAACATTTGTGCACAAGTCTTTGCTTGTATCTACACTTCAGTTTATCTTGGGTAAATACCTAGGAGTGAAATGGCTGGGTCAGTTGTTGGTTGTATATGTAATTTTTAAAAAAACTGTGATACTGTTTTCCAAACTGGTTGTACTGTTTTACATTCTCACCGGCAGTGCGCAAGCCTTTCAGTTCCTCCAGATTTTCTCCAACATTTGGTTGTTCAATTTTAAAATTTCACCCATTCTGATAGATGTATGGTAGAATCACATTGTGATTTTGACTTGCATTGCCTTAATGACTAATAATGTTGAACATATTTTCATATGTTTATTTACCATCTGTGCATTGCCCCTGAAATGTCTGTCCAAATATTTTGTTCATTTATTGTTTCCTTGTCGAATTTTGAGAGTTCTTTATGTATTCCAGATTACAAGTCCTTTGTTAGATATGTGATTTGAAAATATGTTTCGTTCTGTGACTTGTCTTCTCATTCTCTTAGTATCTTTTGAGAAAAGAAAATTCTAATTTTGATGAAGTTATATTTATCATTTTTTTGGAGGATAATAATTTTGTTATCATACTAAGAAATTTTTGCCTAACCAAGGTCCCAGAGAGTTTATGTAAGATTTATAGCTTTATATAAATGTCTGATCTGTTTTGATTTAATTTTTATCTGTGGTGTGAGGTATGGATCAAGGTTTTTTGTTAAAATTGTGCCAGTACCATGTATAGAATTACCTTTGCAACTTTGTTGTCAATCTGTTGACCATATGTATGTAGGTTTATTTATGGACTATTCTTTTCCATTGATCATTTTGTCTATTTTGTCAATACCACATTGTCTTGATTACAGTAGCTTTATAAGAACTCTTGAAAACAGGTAATATAAGTCCTTCAACTTTATTCTCTTTCCAAACTTGTTTGGCTCTTCTATGTTCTTTGCATTTTCATAGACATTTTAGAAAAATTTCTTCAAAAAAGCCTTCTGGGATGTTTACAGAAGAAGGTGATGCTCAGCAAGGCTTGCAGCAGTGAATGAGAATGGAAATGGAGGGAGGCTGGGCACGGTGGCTCACACCTGTAATCCCAGCACTTTGGGAGGCCAAGGCAGGTGGATTGCTTGAGCCCAGGAGTTCAAGACCAGCCTGGGAAACATGGTGATACACCATTTCTATGAAAAATGCCAAAAAAAATTAGCCAGGTGCGGTGGTGCATGCCTGTAGTCCCGGCTACTCAGGAGGCTGAGGTGGGAGGATGGCTTGAGCCCAGGAGTCTGAGGTTGCCATGAGCCAAGATCACGCCACTGCACTCCAGCCTAGGTGACAGAGTAAGACCCTGTCTCAAAAAAAAAAAAAAAGAGCAAAAGAAAAAGACATGGAGGGAAAGACAAATGACAGACTTGGTGCCGACTGAATGTTTTGGTTAAAGGAGGCAGATGTCAAGTGTTAAGGTGGTGCCTAAGTTTCTGACCTGAGTAATTGGTTAACTGGATTGGCAGTAGTATCTTCTCCAAAGAAGGAATTACAGAAGGAGGCAGCATTTTGATGTGGAAGAGAGAGAAGTCCATTGCTTCTGTTGAATTTCAAATGATGCCAGTGGAAAACCACCTGGAGATGGCATGTTGGAAGCTGGAGACATAAGTTTACGGGGAATCATCCGTGTATGGGGTCCATGAGATCACGTGGTGGTGGGAGAACACAGGCCCAAGATAGAAAGTTGAGGATCATTATCTTTAAATTATGACCTGGAGAAGAAGCAGCTACGAATTTTTAGGTTCTTGTAAACATTTTAAATGCCTTCATTCAGGTACGGTGGCTCACCCCTGTAATCCCAGCACTTTGGGAGGTCAGGGCGGGCGGATCACCTGAGGTCAGGAGTTCGAGACTAGCCTGGCCAACATGGTGAAACCCCATCTTTACTAAAAATACAAAAATTAGCCGGGCCTGGTGGGGCATACCTGTAATCCCAGCAACACGGGAGGCTGAGGCAGGAGAATCGCTGGAACCTGGGAGGCAGAGGCTGCAGTGAGCTGAGATTACACCACTGCACTCCAGCCTGGGTGGCCGAGTGAGACTCCATCTCAAATAAATAAATACATACATGCATACATACATACATACATACATACGTACGTACATACATACCTTCATTCAACATGCACAGTGCCGCATGGCTCTATTTGATCATTAAAAGTATTATAGTACTTCCTTCTTTTCCCTGATCTCCATTCACACTCTTATTTTCCTTTTCAAGTCTAGCATCTTTGCAACAGAGTCTATACATTAAATACAGTAAAACAAGGGCCCCTGCTACTCATTCTCATAGTTGAGTAACGTTGCTCCAAAATGCCACTATTTAGAAATTGTCTTGTATTCTTTAATTACTGAATGAAAGACTCCTGGTGCAATTTAAGTTTTTATTTTGTGTTTCTCTAAAGGGTATAAAATAGAAATCAGAAGCTTAAATAATATAAATAAAAGCAGGACAGCCTTGTTGAGGGTGAGGAGGGGAGGGTTGCAGCGCATCACCATTACTGCAAAGTGGACTTTGAAGTGGCTTGCAGAGAACTTTAATATTTTGAGGAGCACAATTTGAATGCTAGTCTAATGGTTTTAGTATTTTATAAATAAGGAAACCAAGGCCTGAGTTTCCTTCAGATTAAGTGATTTGCTGTTTGTCTCACTGCTAGTTAGAGTAGAGGTGGAATTAGAGCTAGTAACTCCTGATTCCTAGTCTCATGCTCTTTTTGTAGGATGGTGATACTGCCCTAGAGAACCACTTCCATTAGTCACCAACCCCACTACCCCTCACACCACTCCTGTCAATACTCTGGGTTATTAAAGGTGAAAAGAAAATGGCAGGGAAAAGAAAAAAAAAACTGATGTGTTTCCCTTGTTCTAGATGTCCAAGCTCTGTGGCTTACCAGACTGACGGCAGGTGCCCTGCCATTTTCTGAAGGGATGTTCTATCTGGTTGTTTATTAGTTACCATCTCTCTCTATTTAAGCAGCTTCAGGGCCAACTGACTCTCGGTGTCACAGTGGGAATTTGACATTTCTATTTCTCATTTGTAATTTAGGGTACGTTGACACATTTAATTTCGTAATTGTGTACTTAAAAAGTGAGTAAACTAAAGTTTATTAGTGCTTTATGAAAACTGAAAATACTCCCGAAGACTAACATTATATTTGGTGAGCCTCCTAATGAGGAATTAGAAGACTTGATTCAATCATAATATTATCTTACTGCTTATTTGAATTTACTAAGTCCTTGGCATTATACTAAATGCTTCATTTTAGGGATGAAGAAACAGTTCGAAGGGGTGATGACATTTGCCAATGTTTTGGAGCTAATAAGGGCTGAGTTTGGATTGAGAATCCTCAACATTCTGAATTGTTGGGTGCTTTTATTCCTAGGATTATTTCAGGCTTGATATCCTGCTCAATGCTCTATTTGTATTTGCCTCCAGGGAATATTCTCTTTCCTCTATCCCAGTTCAACACCCTCACTCCAGTTTCCTCCTCTGTAAGCCATTCTCCCAAGGTTTCTGTGTGTTCACCACTCATAACTGAAGGTTGCCAGGGTAGGATGGAAAGGGTAGGGCCTGAGGCGGGAGAGGTTGTAGAAGAGGAAAGAACATGGCAGTGGAGACTTACAGCAGAATGAACAACTTTAAAACTGAGCATTAGATGACATTTCTGTTTTGAAAATTGCATTGATCACCCTATCCCTGGAAATTCTGCAGTGACCACCTTTGTTGAAAGGCCTAGAGCTCCCTGCCATCTCCAACATACTCACGCAGCTCCTGTACATGCACTCAGAAGTCGGTTTGTGTTTTAAATAACTTCTTTAAAAATCTCATCACCAAATGCTGTTGATCATAGTTTACCTACCAGTAAAATAGAGATGAGGTCCATTTGACCTGCTTCAATTGGGATTCTCTCTTGAGGATCTAATAAAAATGATGGAAGTTGAAATGTTTACAAATATATATGAAATGCTACGCTCGTGTAAGATATTACTCTTACTGTTGATGCTTTAATTGAAATCAAATTTAAAAAGGGACTCAACAGCTGATCAGAATCTACATGGAACTAACACCGTGATCTCCCAGTTAAGTGGCAAAACATCTGATTTTAGGGGTATATTTCTGATTTAGAAAATATGGGAGCTTCTTTTGTGTCTTTTGTTTAAAGTTATCCTTTGTATTATTAGTAGTAGATTTTAGCGAAGATAGTCAAACTTTCCTAACAAAGAAGTATAGCAGTGCTAAGATTTTCAAGATAAATAGTAGTTTCTTTGTTTCAGATTATGTCACTGAGATTTGACACACTGAGCAATAAATGAATGTATTGGCCAGCCTGTGCTTTTTTAAACGTGATTTTGCAAAGTAATTTGTCTTTTTAATTTTAGGAAACAGATATTGATGACAGATATGGAGATTTGGATTCCAGAACAGATTCTGATATTCCGGAAATTCCACCATCCTCAGATAGAACCCCTGAGATTCTCAAAAAAGCTCTATCTGGTTTATCTTCAAGGTATGATTGGATGAAGATGAGTATATCTTAGTGCACAAGATAGGCTTTGAGGTTATCCTTGTCCATGTAATAAATTTGGCTTTTTGTAAGTTTTCCAGCCATGGTATTAGGTGGTCAAAAAGGCCACCTAATATCCGAGGTATAGTTCTATGTATTTAATGTGTATCCACCCTTAAAACCTTGTGAAGTATAAGAAAACCAAGGCTGAGAGGTTAATTGTTGAAGGCTACAGAGCTAGTAAGATATAGACCTGGGATTCTTGCCTTGGGCTGTCAGATTCTGAAGCCTGTGATCTATTTACCACGTCACATTGCTTTTTCTGGTATTAGAACACCTAATAAAACTCCATAGTCTCTGTTCCCTATTTTTCAAATGCCAGACAGAAATAGGTATTTTTTTCTTTTTTCTTTTCTTTCTTTCATTTTTTAAATAAGATGGGGTTTTACCACATTGCCCAGGTTGGTCTTAAACTCCTGGGCTCAAGCAGTCTGCCCACTTTGACCTCCCAAAGTGCTGGGATTACAGGCGTGAAACATGGCACCAGGCCAGTATTTTCTTTTCTTTTAACTGAGTTTAAGATTATTGTCTAAAACTCCACAATCCATTACCATTTTATATTTGTGCAACATTTAAAAATGTGTGATGACCACAAAATTTCAGCTAATTATATTACCCTTCATTGTATACTTTAGTAATATGAATTATAAAATTTATAAAAGCAAAGTAAACCTAAGCTTTTGTCCAGATTAATGTATGAAATGTTACATATTGGTGTAGAAAGAACAATGTTTCCCCAACTTTTTGACACTATGACACAGTAAGAAATACATTGTATACCACATTCCAAGACACACAAATGTATATTTTAACTGCTGCAAAAATGTTATGAAACAATTCTTCCCATTACTGTGTAATACCCTCTGATTTCTTTTGTATTTGATGCTGTTCTATGTTATTGAACAAAAAATGCTACATGTAACTTATTCAATGGATTTTACTACCCTTGGGTCATAGCCTGCGATCTGAAAACCACTAGTTTAGTCGTATCTAGTAAATGTAATATGAATTTTTCTTTTTTTTTTTACTTTGTAAGGGATAACCATATTAGAATATATTGGTTAAAAGCAACATTTTCATATTTTTTAACCAATAGAACATATCTTTGATCTGCTATGAAAAGCATGATTATTTTAATAGTTCTTGTTCCCAGTTGTTTTCATGACCTAATTCCCAGATATAACTTTGCATTAAAATCTCATCAAGTCTATCTCAGACCTGAAATTTTGTGTAGTCGATGTTCTGTAAGAATGATGCCAGATTTGTGTGTGTCATTCATAATAAGATCTTCCTTAATCATGAAGTTGTTTTTTTCTGATATAAAGTAACAATAGCAAATACTAGCAGCTAATATTTATTTAGCATTTACTATGTACTAGTATTGTTTCAGGCACTTTATATGTATTGACTAATATTCTCATGGCAGCCTTGTAACACAGGTATATAAATGTGGAAACGTAGGCAGATATTATATATCAAGGGTCATGTAGCTAGTAAGTTATGGACCCACATTCTGAACCTAGGTACTGTGGCTTCAATGCCTGTATTCTTATCTATGCTATTTATGAGTGAATTGGTTTTAGAAAATGAACAATAGATAATATAGTGGTTTCAATCTTCTCGAGAAACTTTTCTACAAAGATTACATGAATGTTTTACATGTAATCTGTTTTATACATTTTTATCCTGTTTTTAGTCTAATATTGAAAACAGACTGTCTTGCAAAGACTTAGAATTTGTAGATACATAGGATTAAAAATAGTAATTACATAAGAAATGTACATTACTTGCAGAAAAAAAAATCCTGTAATCCTCCTACCAAGACATTAATATTTAGAATACTTCAGTGTTTACCCTTTGAGGCTTTTTTCTTGTGCAGTGTGTGTGTGTGTGTGTGTGTGTGTATGTGTGTGTATGTATGGATGTGTGTAAAGCAAAAATGAGATTGTACTGTTTTCTACCTTACTGTTTTAATTTTCATTCCATGGTATTATTAGGAACAACATTTCATGCAGGATCCTAAATATATTTCAGAAACATTTTTAATGTCTGTATATTTTGCTGCATGGCTATGGTCTAGTTTATCCAACTGACCACCTATTGCTGGGCATTTAGTATATTACTAAATGTTCACAATTAAAAATACCTCTACATTAAACATTTTTCTTTGTAGTAACTTTATTTTAACATCCATTAATTATTTCCTTAGGATAAAGTCCTAAAAGGGAAATCCCTTGGTCAAGTTTTATGCCCTTCCCTTACTTTTTTTTTAAAACAGGGTTTCACTCTGTTGCCTAGACTGGAGTGCAGTGGTGCAGTCTCAACTCACCACAACCTCTACCTCTCAGGCTCAAGCAATCCTCCCACCTCAGCCACCCAGGTAACTGGGACTACAGGCATGAGCCAACATGCCTGGCTAATTTTTGTATTTTTTATAGAGACAGGATTTTGCCTTGGCTTGTGGTCCTTTATTTACCTCTGACTAGATTTGCGACCTAGCCCAGTTTTCTAATCCATCCATTAATCCACAAACAGTTATATCTGTACAACTACATGGGGCCTTTTAGCCATAGCATTTTTGACTCTACACTCATTTTTAGTTCTGCCTCATGCTCATGCTCTCATGAGAAGTTTATGTCTACATAGTTTGTTAAACAATAGAGGGAAATAAAGTTGAATGAATGCAATTTGACTACCTTATGAAGAAACTCATAAGCTGGAAAAAAATGTATGTTGTTGGTATGTTGGTATTTTAGATCCTGTGTGTAGAAATGACATGATAAAAGGAATATTTGAAAAGAGTATTTGTTGGAAGTATTTAAACTATATTGGAGAGTGGTTGAAAGCAAGGAATGTAATCTTTTTTTTTTTTAAGAGACAGTATCTTGCTCTGCCACCCAGGCTGGAGTGCAGTGGCACAATCATGGCTCACTGCAGCCTTGACCTCCTGGGCTCAAGTGTTCCTCCCACCTCAGCCCCCAACATGCCCCGCCTCCTCTCCCCCCACTCCCCCCGCCCCTCAGTATCGGGGACCACAGGTGAGTACCACCACGCGCAGCTAAGTTTTGCATGTTTTGTAGAGCTGGGTTTTTACCGTGTTGCCCAGGCTGGTCTCAAACTCCTGGGCTGAAGCAATTCTATACCTTATGAAGGCAGCTAATATTTCTGTTCTAAGAAGGGAATGAGGGCTGGACATGGTGGCTCACACCTGAAATCCCAGCACTTTGGGAGGCCAAGGCAGGAGGATCACTTGAGCCCAGGAGTTAGAGACCAGCCTGGGCAAGATAGTAAGACCCTGTCTCTATTTTTTTTTAAAAAAAAGGAGTGAGGACTTGTGCTTAGAATACACTGCATATATGTTACTAGACTTTAAGTTGAATCAAAATCTCTTGTAACATAATTTAAATGCTACCAGTTGAATTAATAAAAATCAGAAAAGTCCTAAAGAAAAACAGCGACAATTCTAAATATAGAAGTCATCATTTGTATATAGGAGCATTCAGAAATTCTGGATTTTTCATACAGAGCTGCCAACAGTTTATATGACATGGTAACACAAGGAGTGATTATTTGTATGGCACAATGGGGATGAAGTGTGAGGCTTGTGGCGGTGGTGGGGTGCGGTCGGGCATGCCAGGCCCTTACAGCGAGGGTTGAGGGAGACCAGTTCTCAGCATGGCAAGGACCAGCTGGTGTACCAGCAGGAAAGCTCTGCTCTGAGGAGCAAAGAAAGGCCCAAGGATAAAGAAATACTTTGTTTTTTGGAGACGGAGTCTCGCTCAGTCGCCCAGGCTGGAGTGCAGTGGCGCGATCTTGGCTCACTGAAAGCTCCGCCTCCCGGGTTCACGCCATTCTCCTGCCTCAGCCTCCCAAGTAGCTGGGACTACAGGCGCCCACCACTATGCCCGGCTAATTGTTTTGTATTTTTAGTAGAGACGGGGTTTCACCGTGTTAGCCAGGATGGTCTCGATCTCCTGACCTCGTGATCTGCCCACCTCGGCCTCCCAAAGTGCTGAGATTACAGGCGTGAGCCACCACGCCCGGCCAAGGAAATACTTTTACTAAAGGCTTTGTCCCTAATCAAAGAAAGCAGTCAATACACTTTGAACAACAGAAGTGTCCTTCCATCTGTCTTTATCCTCAGTGGCTGACCTCTTAGGTAACTGGCACCTCACTCCTTCATTTCACTGAAATCACTGTTCTTTCCAGTTTTAGTTCGGTATTATCTTTCATTACTTATTCTCATTGGCAGTCCATGCTGTCTATATCATATTCTTAAAATCATGACTGTATTCATCTGCCATCCTAATTGGGCATCATCTCTTTTGAGGGCTTTTGTACCTGGCTCGTTCTTCCCCTCCATGTGGTCCCTGGTGGGATGCCTGACTTTCACATCCACCCTGACCACCTAACGTCCTAACCTCACGGTTTATTCCCCACTCACATTTAACAAAAATTATTTTCTTTCTGGCCGGGCGTGGTGGCTCACACCTGTAATCCCAGCACTTTGGGAGGCCGAGGCAAGCAGATCATTAGGTCAGGAGATCGAGACCATCTTGGCTAACACAGTGAAACCCCGTCTCTACTAAAAATACAAAACAATTAGCCGGGTGTGGTGGCGGGCACCTGTGGTCCCAGCTACTCGGGAGGCTGAGGCAGGAGAATGGCGTGAACCCAGGAGGTGGAGCTTTCAGTGAGCCGAGATCACGCCACTGCACTCCAGCCTGGGTGCGACAGAGCGAGACTCCGTCTCAAAAAAAAAAAAAAAAAAAAAGAAAAGAAAAATTATTTTCTTTCTTGGCTAACATAACTTTAAAAGTTAATTTATCTCCCAGTGTGTGAATGAATGCTGTTTGTTTTTTGTTTTTGTTGTTTGTTATATAAAGTGAAGTAGTAGAATCTTATAGTTAAGGAAAATTCATAAATCTGGCAAATCAATACTGAAACCACACAAAAAACCTTAAGAACACGTTAAATACTAACTTTACATTTTCTTTGTAGGTGGAAAAACTGGTGGATACGTGGAATTCTCACTCTAACTATGATCTCGTTGTTTTTCCTGATCATCTATATGGGATCCTTCATGCTGATGCTTCTTGTAAGTTTTTGACTTTTCCCTGAGTGTCTCTTGCTTTGTTTTTCAACATTTATATAGGATTGAAGTAATTTGAGCATATCATAAAAAAGAAGCTAATTCAACACTCAGTCACAGAATATTTAGTTCCTTTAAGTGTCTTTTATTTCATGATATGATCTAACTTAATCTTTTCTGTTTGCAAAATGACTATTCAGTGTGTTCATTCAGCAGAGACCAAGTTTGTATAACAGGTACATATCTATGTGTCTGACATTGTGCCAAGCATATTTTATCAAAGATATGACATGAGCCTGGGCAAAAAAACACAAGCCTGAGACCTCGTCTCTACAGAAAGTTTTAAAAAATAAGCTTGGAGTAGTGGTTCACGCCTATAGTCCCAGCTACTGGGGAGGCTGAGGTGGGGGATCACTTGAGCCTGGGAGGTTGATGCTGCTGTGAGCTGTGGTTGTGCTACTGCACTGCAGCCTGGGCAACACAGACCATCTCAAAAAAAAAAAATGACAGAAATACACACACATATAACATCAACATATGACTATTAGCTAGATCCCTGATTTCAAGGAACTCAGTGTAATAGGAAAAACATACAAGTAACCATATGAATAAATAGCATGATAAATAAGCGAGATAAGTTCTATGATAGAACATGTTAGGAGTGCATGGTAGAAAAGCACCTAATCCAGTCTGAGGGAGGGATGAGGAGGGGCTTCCAGAAGAGACAGTGCCGAAGCCGAGTCCTGAATACTGGACAGAGGAAGGAATTCCAAAGTGGAGACATCATGAGCGGGGCATGGAGGTAGTGAGAGGATGCGGTCCATTGGAAGATCTGCAAGTTGCACATGTAGAGGGTGTCTATATAGGGCACTGGAGAGGCAAGGAAAAACCATTCTGGGAGTTTTGGATTTTGGTGTGTGTGGGAAGCTCAGTAAGTCAGGAAGCCAAACAAGTATTTAAACCCTTCATTCATTCGTGTAACAAACGGTTCCAAGATGCCTGCTATATGCCAGGCATTACGTTAGTTCTAGGGATGATACAGTGGTACTGAGAAAAATGTACCTGTCTCTGCCCTCATGGAGCATACTATCTGCACTTTAAAGAGCTGATTATGTATTTACAGTGAGATGCCACCTGATGACATTTTGGTCAGTGATAGACAACTATACGACAGAGGTCCTATAAGATTATAATGGAGCCAAAAAATTCCTGTTGCCTCATGATTTTATTCCAGTTGCCAACGGTATTCAGTAAAGTAACATGTTGTACAAATTTATAGCCTAGGACCAATAGGCTATACCATATAGACTAGATGTATAAGAGGCCATACCATCTAGGTTTTGTAAGTATACTCTATGATGTTGGCACAACAACGAAATTGCCTAACGATGCATTTCTCAGAACATACCCCCTTGTTAAGCAACACATGACTATATATAATTACAAACTACAATAAGCATTTGAGAAAAAGAATAATACTAAGAGAGCAAAGACGGAGCTGGGAGACTTTCCAGAGGCACAGTGCCAAGCACGTGGGCTGCAATCTGAAGGTTGAGTGGGAATCAACAAGGTAAAGGATGGAGTCTTGGGGAGGACCATCACAGGCAGAGGATTTCTGTGGGCAAAAGCCCAGATATTTAAAGCATGAAACATTTGAAGCCCACAAGTGTTGGAACCGAGGAGAAATGCATTTGTTCAATGCATTCATCAAGCACTTAGGCAGTGCTGAGCATGGTTTGACAGCACACAGTGAGAGCCTGCCCTCCGGGGTGCCCTGTGGCCTTCTTTATTGGTATTATCATTGTTATTACTTTTTCTCATTCCTTTTCAGTTAATCCAGGTTCTTCTTATGTACTCATCTCCTTCATCTCTGATTTCTCTTGCCCACTTAGAAATGTGTTTATCCATTTTGCCAATCTCCCTCCATATTCAATTCTATTCATAGCTCATAAGCTTATGAGCTATATGATATGGTTTTCCTTTTATTTTATAAAAGAATAAGTTTTGATGTGAAATTAGACATGATGAAAAAAAATTCCATCAGCTCTTGAAGCCACTTAAAGTGGCTTTTATAAGCACCTCAAAGCCTCTTTCACTTCTCTTTTTGTCCTCTCATTAATTTTTCACTTCCTTGGGGAAATCAAGTAATGAAAATGAATAAGAAGTTAATTTCTTTTTCTGCTAATTTGCTAAGATCTTAAAGTGCTTTTTCTCACAAAGGAAAAATGGATAATAAATAGGACAGACTTAATGTGAGAGCAGAGGAAGCGGAGCTTGAAAGCCAAGTGGGCAGGCGTGGGAAATTGTCTGCATTTGATTCCAGGAAGAGGCCCCCAGCTCCCAGTCTTCTGTCGCTGAATGTGCCAAGGGCTAAAATGATCACCATTGGCCCTGGGACTTGGGCATTTAAGAAGCAAGTGTGTGCAGAGCACTTTTCAATGCTAGGTGGTGAGTGGGCAGGCTTGAGGAAGAAGGGACCAAGTGAGAGCAAGGAGTTCCACAAGTCTTTGTGGGTGAAGGGACCTTTGAGTATGATTTTGGGCAGTGTATCAGGGTGGAGGCAGCACTGTGAGCAAAGGTCCAAGTGGCTAGAAGTGTGCCACTTGGACCTTTGCTCACGGTGCTTCCTCGGTGGCAGAAAAAGGTGCTTTTTCCTTGAGCACAGGGCTGAAAAATAATTAGAGATCAGATTCTGGAGGGCCTTGCTATGTGGAGAAGTTTGGGTTTTATTTGGGAAGCAGTAAGGAGAAGTATTTTGGGAGAATTTATTTGGAATTAAGAATTAAGAAGAATTTATTTGGGAAAGGTAAGGAGTAAGAAGAAAATGTTGATCTAAGATATCAGAAACCACCAGTATCCTAGATACAGTGACTTCGGCAGGTTTGGTGGGTTCCCCTGTGATTTACATTTTTCTCCAAACTGAACTGTTGAGTATAATAACTAGGGCAAGAATTTGTGGATAAAAACTATTTTCTAACCACTCTTTAAGACAAAATTCAAGACAGTTTTAAAGACATGCATGCATACATTTGGATTCTGATTTTTTAAGAGAACCATAAGTGTGCCTACGGTACTTGAGTTTTTTTGTTTATTTTTTTCTACTATGAAAGGAAAATATGATCTTATTACTAGTTATTTGCTTCAATTGGTGAGTTTAATTAAAGAAGAAAATAAGAGTATTAAAGATCTGGCCAGGTGCGGTGGCTGACGCCTGTAATCTCAGCACCTTGGGAGGCCGAGGCAGGTAGATCATTTGAGGTCAGTTTGAGACCAGCCTGGCCAAAATGGTGAAACCTCGTCTCTTTTAAAAATACAAAAATTAGCCGGGTGGTAGAGGCGTGTGCCTGTAATCTGAGCTACTTGGGAGGCTGAGGCAGGAGAATCGCTTGATCCTGGGAGGTGGAGGTTGCAGTGAGCTGAGATCACACCACGGCACTCCAGTCTGGGTGACAGAGTGAGATCCTGTCTCAAAAAAAAAAAAAAAAAAAGAATATTAAAGATCTAAGTAAAGTAGGTTTGAACTGTTATTGGTTATTTAAGTTTATTACATACACATACATGCATAGATATATATATATATATTATGTTTTTATGATATTTGTGTTAAGAGAATATGGATGATTCACACATATAGTTGGTACTCAATTGATATTACTTTATGTGTTTTAAAACCTTGTTTCTATTCCTATTCTTAACTAGATCATTTATATTTTGAGAAGGACATGTTGTATCTAGCTTGCAGTTGCCTTATAATGTCAGCACTCAAAAATGACTAATTCAATATAGTTTTATTAAAAACTTCTAGGAGGTCGGGCACAGTGGCTCACGCCTGTAATCTCAGCACTTTGGGAGGGTAAGGCGGGCAGATTGCTTGAGGTCAGAAGTTCAAGACCAGCCTGGCCAACATGGTGAAACCCTGTCTCTACTCAAAATACAAAAAATTAGCTGGATGTGGTGGCGCACACCTGTAGTCCTAGCTACTCAGGTGGCTGAGGCAAGAGAATCACTTGAACCCAAGAGGCAGAGGTTTCAGTGAGCCGAGATCGCGCCACTGCACTCCAGCCTGGGCGACAGAGTGAGACTTTGTCTCAAAAAACAAACAAACAAAACTTCTAGGAAATTACAGGTACTATTTTAATATGGAATGCATACCCATGTTCCTTAAAAGGCCTTCTATTTGTAGTTTTTAAATTGTATTCACAGCTTAGAATCATACTTTCTAAGTGATGGAGTTACTAAAGCATGTTTTGATTTAAAGGCAGATGTGAACATATAGAAGATATTGAAAGAGGTTTTTTCCCCCCCTGCCTTCTTGGAAACTGTTGTCATTAACTTTTAATTCGTGCTATGTAGTTTACTTTTAAATAGTGTGTTTACTTTTTCCTATTATGAGAGTTGTATACGTGTGATCAAATTACTTTGGAAAATAGATAATTAAAAATAATCATTCCAACCCTATTGTTAACCACCAAAATGCAGTTAGTAGTGTTACATTTTATTTCATCACTTTTTGCTTAATTTATATGTTTTTAAAACTGTGGTCATAATAATAATGTGACTAACATTGTGCATCCTGCTTTTTAAGCTAAATATCACATCAAAAATTTTGTGGCCAGGTGCGGTGGCACACACCTGTAGTCTCAGCTATTCGAGAGGCTGAGGCAGGAGGATCACTTGAGCCCTGAAATTCCAGTCTGAGTCCAGCCTGGATAATATGGCACAACCCTATCTCTAAAAAAACCAAACTTTTAAAAAAAAGTTTTGTGTTGTTCTGTGGTCTTTATAATCATTAGCTTTACTAGATTGTCTGCTTGATGGAATGTAGTTCATCATGGAGTTATTCACTTACAGTGAATGAATATCTGAATTCATTCAGTGCATCATTTAAAGTTATTCAAATCATTGTGTTATTTGTAGACATTCAGGTTATGTTCTTTTTTTTATTGTGAATAACACTATCATGAACATATTAGAACATAAATATGCTCTAACTTTATATGTGGGAGTATTTTCTTAGAAAAAATTTGCAAAGTGAAAATAGACACTTATTTGAATAACCCATAGGTACTCAATATAGTTCATACTCAAAATGACCAGATCTGAACTTCTAGTCCATACCTCGGCCATCCAGAGTAAATCTGTTGTCAAAGTTAAATAACAATACACAGACAAATCTCTATGCAAAGCATTTTATTTGGGAATGTATATATATTTTTTAAAAAAACAAAATTGCACTTCAGAGCATATACCCAGACCAGGGTGGTCTTTGATATGTCTAAAGAATAAAGAGAAGGTTGGGAGTTTTATTAAAGAGAGAAATGCTACATATTGTTTTGAAAGAAAGCCCATTAGCACTAGTGCACTTTTGGGGAGTTGGCAGGCTCTGACTGGTGAGTGACAGTGGTGGCAGGTAAAATTAGTCTTAGAGTCATGGCACATTGTTGTTTCAGCAGCCACCAAGTAAAACTGGTCTGACGGTATGGCCAGCTGTTTCAGAAGCTGGGCTTTGGATAATTCGTGGAGCAGGTGCTGTGTGCCCTGAGTGCTTTTTCCGCTTGGCCCCTCAACTCTGATCTTAGTTGAATATGACAGTTGACCCAATTTGTATAATTCTTTCATATTGTCTACTTTCCCAAGCCTTCCTTGGTGTTATTTTGTGTTCCCTTTTCTCCCTTAGCCCCTCAATTTCCTCACGCACCATGTCTAGTCAGTTCTACCCCCTATACTTCTCTCCTGTCTTCTTCTCTACTCCGCTACCACTTCACCTGGATAGTGAAGTGGCATCTTGCCTCCTGACTGCCTTGACTCTTGTCACCGCCCCAGCCCACTGTTTCCACCTTATTCTCCCAAACTCTCATGTCCAGTCATGTTGCTTCAACTCCTCGGTGCACTGCTTCCTGCTGTTTCCTAGGATTCCAGGACCAGGCTCATCTCTCTCTCCTTCTTACCCCCACCTTTGTCTTCCAGCAACTCCACCCTCCTAGTAGTTCCCTTAATACGCCCCATTCCCTCTACAGGTGGTGACTCTGCAGATCCTCCTCCTCTGGCTCTGCCGTTGCCCACCCCCTCCCCCTGCCACAGGTGTGTCTGCCTCTACACACGTCCATTTGCCTATTTCACATGGGTTGTAGTCGTGTTTCCTCCCTGAGAGACTGTACCTCTCTGTGAACAGATGCCCTATGTTATTTCTATAAGTCCTCAGTAACTAGTAAAGAGTAGACACTTAAATACTGACTTGTTTTTAAGGTTCTTGAAACATTAATTGGGCCAACAGAGTCCTATGAGTGTACATTGCTACCAGTGTTGATGGTGTGGAGTATTAATTTCTGTGTAATCCTCCAGTCCTGGAAGATACACATATAGTTGAAGGATTTCAACACTACTATTTGGAACCTTTTGTTTTCTGTTTTCCTAGAAGTTCCATATTAATTGTCCTTGCAAGCTATAGTTGATGATCATATAAATATAATGCGTGTTATTAAAAATACTTTTGTTCTCTCCTCTCAGTAAAAGAAATACAATTTATAGTGCCAGTGGATGTACCCTAGCAAATATGTTCATAGAAATTACATCAGTATGATATTTTAAAAGCCCTTTGGATCTGACTAACTTTGCTTTACCGTTTTATCTTAATACTAAACATTGTCTCCGTTCTGTATTTTTGTTAGAAATGACTTGATATTATATACAAAGGTTATTTGAAGAAGGACACTTAGATTTCCTCCTGTCTTTATAACACATTTATGACTTTTGCCTACAAGTACTGTTTATGGTTTGACGTACTTTTCTTTATCATGTGGCTGGAAAGACACATTTACTTTTTAAAGTATGTGATTGGACACGTAATCAGTATAATGGGAAAAAATAACTTAAAAATACCCTGAATGGTAGGTTTTGGAAAACTAACTTGTGGAAATCTTAAAAAGAAATCCCGGAATATATCCTCTGACAGAGTTTGGTAAGCTTTTTCTGTTAAAGGACCAGATAGTAATATTTTAGGCTTTAAGGAGCTGCATATGTTTCAGTCACATAATATTTTATTTTTAAATAACTCTTTAAAAAATATAAAAATCCATTCTTAGCTCAAGGACAGTATAAAAACAAGCCCTTGGGGTGTGTTCTCTAGACGCTGAAAAGCTAGTCTGCTGTATTCACAAAGATTTTTACCTCTTAATTCATGATAATAAGTGTTCAACTTGCCATTTGCTCTTTGAGTCTTGGAATCGACAGGTCAAGCACCGGGTGTGATGCTACATCTTGAGAAATTACCTTCACCCAGGTTGCTGAATGCAGCAGTTTGAAGGACTACAAAATAGAACATCAAAAAGGGATTTATAAATCTAAACCCGTTTAATAGGTGTGCAATCAGGACACTGTGTAAACAGAAATGCATAAACTCAGTTGACTGGCCAAAGTGGCTGCAAATGTGGAAGGTTGCTTATACTTTGCTAAGGTAGCCCAGCTTAGATTGAGCAGCCAGTAGCTGGCTATGGGAGAGTTGACACAACTGGGAGGATGAAAAGGCCATTCCAGGGTGACTGGCTAGAAAGTGTTCTAACTATTTGTCCTGACAGTATCTTTATTATTTGCAGGTATAACAATGCATGGTTACAAATAAATATGTGCAAGCAAACTTTCATATATGATTTTCTTAGGGTATCTCAAGAAACATAATGGACAGGTTGGACAAAAAGATTCTCCATCTTGACAAGGACAATCTCAAGAATGAAGTAGTAATGAGGGATAAATCCTAGTCAACTGCGGCCAACCAGACTATATCCCTCAAACTTTAAACTCCATTGCCATTCCCCACCCCAGGAAGGATCTTCCAAGCCTTTTTGAGTAAAACATTATTTTGCCTACCCCTTTGAGTTATCACTTGATTTTAGAGACATGGAATATTGCATTTTTTACTGACATTTAGCATAATTAAACATTGGTAGATTAAGATTTTTTAAATACATATGACAAACTGCTTTATTGAATGATTAAGCACAAATGTAAACATTGAGAAATGTATGTTAATGTTTTCTCTTGGTTTCAGGTTCTGGGCATCCAAGTGAAATGCTTCCATGAAATTATCACTATAGGTTATAGAGTCTATCATTCTTATGATCTACCATGGTTTAGAACACTAAGTTGGTAAGTAAGCTTGAAACTATTTCAGATATGAAAAGTTAATTTCTGAAGTTTGTAAAGGAAGCGTCTTGATCAGTCAGTATCCACTCAATTTACCCTATAGATTGATTCTAGAGAAAGATAAATAAAAATAATGTAATTGAATTTTGAAAAGATCACCTTTGTCTTTCCTACTCCAATACAACTTTTTTCAGATCTCATATTTTAGTCTTTGTAGAGATATCTAATATGTGAATATATACACCATTCTTGTCCTTTTTTTAATAAAAAACTAAACATTGTATTGGAAACATTTTTGTATCCTTTACAATAATAATTTTAGCAAAATATTTACATATAATCTTTTCCTTCATTTTCCTTCATTTCCTCTCAGTTGACATGATAACATACAACATATTGTATATATACAAATGCACATAAAGTTAGTAACAAAATCACCATAATGATATTAACATTTAAAATTTTATATCTTTTAAAACTTTTCATATATAAATCATTGCTCTCAGAACCTTGACTAGGAAACATGATAACATTATAGTTCATATTTAACCCAAGTGGCCATCCTTTTTAATATAGTTGATAAATATCAACCAGGGAGTCAGTGTCTTTTTAAAACAGATGGGGTTTAGAATAGTCAAAAAGAAGTGTCTTGATTTCGGTGATAGCTGATTTTTCCTTCTAGCAGGTTTCTTCACGAGTGGCAAAGTATACAGGAAATGTTAGATAGATAAAGTAATTGGAGAATAATTAAATGTAAAACCATGCAGTATTGATTCTAAGTATTATTAAGAAGAGAAGATAAATAAGGATGGGCTCCAGTGATTGTAGAAGGTGTCAAACAAGAGGTAAAAGATAAACTGGTATTTGAAATGAAGACAAGTTTTGGATAAAGAAGAGTTTTCTAGTTGGGGATGTAGCACCCATCAGTTTCTAGATGTGGGACAGATGTACTTATACTACCGTTGATGAGACATTCCTGGCCCTTCTGAGCAGATGGTATTGATTAGCGGACAGTGGGTAAATAGTTGGATTGGTAGACCAGGTTAGGCCTTGATTGCCTTACAGAGGAAGCATCCCTGCTCATCTGGAGTCCACTAGGAGCATTAGAAGAGGGGAGATACCAGTGTGTGCAGGGCAGTGGGGAGACAGGTTGAATTACCTCTTCTTTCTTTCCCTCCTAATCTTCCTGAGGACAGGTGGGGATTTGTCTTAGGACTTCTACTATTA
Source organism: Homo sapiens (assembly GCF_000001405.40). NCBI lineage: Eukaryota > Metazoa > Chordata > Mammalia > Primates > Hominidae > Homo > Homo sapiens. The sequence goes on from NC_000004.12 coordinate 84,618,886, forward strand.
AAAAGCATTAGAGCTGTGAGTAGTTACGAGTTAATTTTCATTATGAACTTAATCCCTCAATATATACACCCACACATTATACATACATACAAAGTATTAAAATCATACACACACACAAACATACACACATTATACATACACACAAAGTATTAAATTTATACACACACACACACACACACACACACACACACACACACACACTGCTCCCGCCTCCCAAGGGTGAGGGATTGTGTGTGTGTAGTATTTTCTACATTGTTTCCTAATTATCTCTGGCATTAGATTTTCAGCTAAATAAAGGTATGAACTATGTTTGGTAAATTTTTGCTAATCAATAAATTTGAAATTAAGTTTAAAACAGGAAAATAGCATTTTGGTAAAATATATCTTGAATTGGTCTTCTGAACTTTGTTTTGATCTTTGTGTCATCAGAATGTAGAAAATAATTTTGTTGAGTTTGAGGGGAAGGAAAGCTTCAAATATAGAAAAGCTAATTGTTTTTAAATTATAGGTACTTTCTATTGTGTGTAAACTACTTTTTCTATGGAGAGACTGTAGCTGATTATTTTGCTACATTTGTTCAAAGAGAAGAACAACTTCAGTTCCTCATTCGCTACCATAGATTTATATCATTTGCCCTCTATCTGGCAGGTAAGTTAAGGAATATTCTGTATTGATATATAGTTAACATATTTTCCATGTTTATTTTTATTTCTGTTATTTTAATTAGTAATTTTTTGGTTAAATTTTATTCCAGCCTCTCTTTTTCATTGTTTCTTGTGTATAAAGCTATTTCTTTCATCATGTTCTTAAATAGCAATTACTCCCTTATAGTGGGTTTAAAAAGTGCTTGTTAAGAATCACTCCAGGCCGGGTGCGGTGGCTCACTCCTGTAATCCCAGCACTTTGGAAGGCTGAGGCAGGTGGAACATCTGAAGTCGGGAGTTTGAGACCAGCCTGACCAACATGAAGAAAGTCCGTCTCTACTAAAAATACAGAATTAGACGGGCATAGTGGCACATGCCTATAATTTCAGCTACTCAGGAGGCTGAGGCAGGAGAATCGCTTGAACCTGGGAGGCAGAGGTTGCCGTGAGCTGAGATCACGCCATTGCACTCCAGCCTGGGCAAAACTCTTATCTAAAAAAAAAAAAAAAAAAGAAAGAATCACTCCATATGTTTGAAAATTTTCTTTGCAAATTGTAGTAAAAAAACTTTTAAGTAAATAAAAATTATTAACCAAATTTAATTTATGAAAAAACTTTCACATATATATTGCTTTATTTGTCCCTAGGAAATAGAGCTTTTTCATGTAGAACTAATCAGGGTAATTAGTTGTTTTTTTTTTTTTTTTTTTTTGAGATGGAGTCTCACTCTGTCGCCCAGGGTGGAGTGCAGTGGTGTGATCTCAGCTCACTGCAAGTTCCACCTCCCAGGTCCACGCCATACTCCTGCCTCAGCCTCCCGAGTAGCTGGGACTACAGGCCCCCGCCACCACACCCGACTAATTTTTTGTATTTTTAGTAGAGACGGGGTTTCACCGTGTTAGCCAGGATGGTCTCAATCTCCTGACCTCGTGATTCGCCTGCCTCAGCCTCCCAAAGTGCTGGGATTACAGGCATGAGCCACCGCGCCTGGCCTAATTAGTTTTTTAGACATAGTTTATAATATATGCAACTGTTTATAGTATGCTATGCCACATGTTTTTGTAATTTTTAAATTAAAAATTAGATTCTTAAGATAAAGTTAGAATTTACAGATATCTTTTCTATGAAATTTTACAGATCATAAAAACCCCTAAGCAATTGATTTTTTTAAATGTGCTTTTTAAAAGCCAGATTGCTCATTTGAATTCTGGACCTACCAATTACTGGTTGAGTAAACAGTGAGATATTTGGGCTGGGCGTGGTGGCTCATGCCTGTAATCCCAGCACTTTGGGAGGCCAAGGTGCACGGATCACCTGAGTTTGGGAGTTCGAGACCAGCCTGACCAACATGGAGAAACCCCGTCTCTACTAAAAATACAGAATTAGCCGGGCATGGTGGTGCATGCTTGTAATCCCAGCTACTTAGGAGGTTGAGGCGGGAGAATCGCTTGAACCCGGGAGGCGGAGGTTGCGGTGAGCCGAGATCACACCATTGCACTCCAGCCTGGGCAACAAGAGGGAACCTCCATCTCAAAAAGCAAACAAACAAACAAAAATGAGATATTTAATTAATTTCTCTGTGCTTCAGTTTCTTTGTAAAGCACTTAGAATAGTACCTGGCACTACTTAAATTTTTTTTATTGTTATTTTCACTTTAAAAGAAGGACATGAAGTTTGTTTGTGAGTTTTCACCTTAGCTGTTACTAGTTATTGTTTTAGCTCCTAGGAGTTTCCCAATAAATGAATTTTTCTCCTGGTACAATCTTAGAAACTGGGTAATTCTTTTCCATTTCTCTTTAAAAATATACAGAGTATGTGGGGAAGCATGTCCAGTCCTGTAGAAGTATGCTATTTCATTAAATAGTTATGATGTTCTTCTTGGTGCCCCTCAGCTCCTTCAGTTCCTAGGCCTTCTAATTCTAAAAAGCCAGAAAGTGAAATACAATCTGAAATGGTAATGGGAATTTTCAGAGAACTTGTTTTTATGTAATGAGGAGGAATACATTTTCGAATAATTTTCCACCTTTTACATTCAGGTTTTTTGTTACTTTTTAAAATTTTAAATTTCATTTTATTTTCCCAGAGATTAGGTCTCCCCATGTGGCCCAGGCTGGTCTCGAACTCCTGGGCTCAAGGGATCCTTCCGCCTTGGCCTCCCAAAGTGCTGGGATTACAGGCACAAGCCACTGCACCCAGCCTTTCATTCAGGTTTATTGTTCAGTTCAGCTTTCCAAATTTGTTCCTTCATTTAAAAAAACTTTTCACTGCTATATCTATAGAAAGTACATTCCTAGAAATAGGTATTGAAAAATTTCTACTCTTTTACTGGTACTCATATGATGGTAGTTGGTCCATTTTAAATTCTGACCAGTTGGAAGGATTATGATCATGGAGAGATTATGATTGTTATCAGCTAAGAAGACCATACTAAAATTTTGGAGAGTAAAACACTTGACTCTGATTCTGTGTTTATCAAAGCACATTTGTGCATTTTCTTGGTATTCTTTGTAGAAACTTTGAGTATTTTCTCTCATTTACCAAACCAGTAAGCTTGATTTATTTTGTTAAAGGTAAGGTAGATTCTGGAATGGATTCTTTTTTTATTATGGGAGAGAAGAATGTAGTACCTTCTCAGTTTATATTTAAGGTAACAAGACTTCTGGCATTTTGAGTTTTGATGATAATACCAACAGTCAAAGAGTCTATGGTATCTTCTGTTATTGAACCCAACACTTTTGTTTCATGTGATTATTCTTGTAATTATTTAAAACAACTGCGGGCCAGGTGCGGTGGCTCACACCTGTAATCCCAGCACTTTGGGAGGCTGAGGCAGGTGGATCCCTTGAGGTCAGGAGTTTGAGACCAGCCTGGCCAACATGGCGAAACCCGATCTCTACTAAAAATACAAAAAAAAATTAGCCGGGTGCGGTGGCAGGTGCCTGTAATCCCAGCTATCTGGGAGGCTGAGGCAAGAGAATCGCTGTAACCTGGGAGGCAGAAGCTGCAGTGAGCTGAAATCATGCCGCTGCACTCCAGCCTGGGCGACAGAGCGAGACTCCATCTCAAAATAATAATAATAATAATAAAAGAACAATTGTGGTTAATTAAAACATAAATCATTTCTATCATTAATATCTGCACATTAGTTTTCAAACTGAATTTCAAAAGAATTATGATGTAAACAGCAACCCTGCACCCCACCGCTTTGAGAGTTTTTCCTTTTCTGTAAGTAATAGGCCTGTTTCTTAGTTTACTTTAGGCATTATCTATTCACTTCCTGTTATAACCTACTTTACTTCTTCATATTCAGTTTTTTTATAGTAATAGTTAGCATTAAGTAGGTACCTAAAATATCACTTCCTGTAGAGCCAAATAGTATCTATGATTACATTTCCTTCTTTTACAACTTTTTGTTTTTCCCGAACTTGAGGAACTGCCTCACCTTCTCTTTCCCATATTTGCTAATTTCAGTGTAGAAATCCTTAATTTTTCCTTTAGGTTTGACCCATGTCTGTTGGTAGTATTTTCAGATGTTTACACAAGTCAGATAGTATATCAATTGCCTTTTTTCATGGAGACTTCTGTGCCAGAGACCTCTGCATTCCTGTTCCTGTGTGAGCTGGCTGCATATGGGCCCACTGCTGAGCTGTCCTCATGATTTGAGCCGGTTTCTTCCATCCCAGTCTTCCATCTCTTAGTTAACACCCTCACTTTGCTGAAGCATGGCCTGCTGTAGTTTCTTATGAAATGATGTGTAGAAGGTAGTTGTCTTATGTTTGTGCATTTCTAAAGATATCTTTAGTCTATTCTTACAGCTGATTGCTTTGGCTAGGGCTCACACTTATTGTTGGACTTTTACTTAATAATCCAGGTCAGAAGCCTAGGCCTCAGTCTTGCCTTCCACCGGGCCCTTTCTCCTTAGTTTCTGTAGAAAATACGTTTAGGCACCTGTAATTTCTCAGGCCTACTAACAGTTTTCTATCTGTTTTCTAGCTTCCAAATTTTGTAGACATGTTTCTTCTTTTCTCCTTCACATTTCTTCAGTTTTCTCTGTTCTTGTGGGGCTTCCCCTTAATTTATTTTAATGTTATTTTGCAGGGATACCAGGATGGAATACAAACTATCATTTAAAAACAAAAAGCCTTAACTAGTTTTATTTTTCCCTTGGCTTAGAACAATTTGTTATTTTTGCTCACAGTCCTGCGGATTGGCGGGCTTAACTTAGCCGTTCTAACCCCAGGCCTCTCACGTGGTTGCCATGAGACAGAGGCGGGTGCTCATGTCTTGAGTGGGCTGGACATCAAAGATGGCTCCTTTTCATGACTGCAGTTCGTGCCGCTTGCTGACTTGGGCACTGACCTGTGGCCCCTCCATGTGGCTTGGATGGGACAGGCAGCCCGGGTTCTGAATGGGGAGCATGCCAGGAGCCAGGTGTTTCAAGAGGCCTAAACTAGTTTTTTTTGCTGGGCGCAGTGGCTCACACCTATAATCCCAGCACTTTGAGAGGCCGAGGCAGGCGGATCACAAGGTCAGGAAATCGAGACCATCCTGGCTAACACGGTGGAACCCCGTCTCTACTAAAAATACAAAAAAAAATTAGCTGGGCGTGGTGGTGGGCGCCTATAGTCCCAGCTACTTGGGAGGCTGAGGCGGGAGAATGGCATGAACCTGGGTGGCGGAACTTGCAGTGAGCCAAGATCCTGCCACTGCACTCCAGCCTGGGAGACAGAGCAAGACTCTGTCTCAAAAAAAAAAAAACAAACAAAAAAAAAAAAACTAGTTTTTTTTTTTAAATGAAAATATATGCCCATGATAAAAATTTAGACTAGAAAGGAGTATTCCATGAAATCCTCCTCCACCTCAGTGCCTTACTTACGATATCTGGAGGCTTACTACTGTTATTCCAGAAATTGTCTGAGTATTCAAGCTTTTATGTTTATATCCCCCCTCCCTTTTTCTTATGCAAGTAAGAGTATCTCTTCTGTACCATTTTTCCACTTCATATATTAATAGCTTATAGATGGATTTATATTGGCACATCTACATCTATCATTGTATCCATATCTGCAGTTACATCTATATTGATATACAGCAATAGCTGAGAGGTAGAATGTCAGCATATAAGGTGATTACTGTTTTCCCCTTTGGTTTTGCTATAATTTATGCTTGAGAATAACATCTCAATTGAGTGTGGACCGATAGTGTAGTTCATTTTCTTTGTTGTTTCTTTTTATATATTTTGTCTTTCATAGCCTCCTAACCAGCCCCTTTTTAGTAATTCTTTGTTCCATATATGACTTTTTGGACTCTACTTCTATAAAATACAATCAATGTTGTGTCTTTTTTTTTTGAAACACAGTCTCACTCCATTGCCCAGGCTGGAGTGCAGTGGCGCGATCTCGGCTCATGGCAACCTCTGCCTCCTGGGTTCAGGTGATTCTCATGCCTCAGCCTCCCAAGTAGCTGGGACTACAGGCATGCGCTACTGTGCCTGGCTAATTTTTGTATTTTTAGTAGAGATGGAGTTTCACTATGTTGCTCAGGCTGGTGTCTAACTCCTGAGATCAAGTGATCCTCCTGCCTTGATCTCCAAAAGTGCTGGGATTATGGGCATGAGCCACCATGTCTGGCCTGGTATTTCTTCATTTTTCTAACCGTATACTTATTTCTGCCATAGACATGTTTTACCATTTCTTATTTTACACTCTTAGAATCACAGAAACTTACTGAAAGTCATCAAAGTCATTCTTAGAGCAAACATTTCAGTGTTTTCCAAAAGCTAGATACTGTGAATGATGTTGAGGATATAAAGGGAGATGAAGTGATTGTGTGCTTTCCAGGGTCTTGAAATTGGTAAGATGTGAGTCTTCTAGTTCATTGCTGAAATGTGAACAAGTCCTGTCAGGAGCATGAAGAAGAGGAAGGAAGGCCATGGAAGGCCTTTGAGAAGAGATGACAGGTTTCATGAAAAGGAAAGAGCAAGCAGGCAGTTGCCAGGTATCGTATAGTAGAAAAGTCCATTCCAGGCGGAGGAACAGCTGTGCAGGCATGAGAATGAGAAAGGATTGCATGTTTTGGGTTCATGGAGGCATTGAAGATAGGGAAGGTAGGTAGGAGCCACATCTTAAGAAAATCTGTATGTCATGGGAAAGGTTTGGACTTTATATCTGGGAAAACATTGGAGGATTTTAAGCTAAGAAATGATATAACCAGATTTGTAATTAAATGAAGTAGGTTGGGAGACATGATCAGGCAGACTAGATAGGAAGTTACTACTGTAATCCACACTAAATGTAGTAATGACCTAAACTCTTCTGGTTTGTAGTTAATACTAAATGAGTAATAAGTTAGAAAATAGGCCGGGCGCGGTGGCTCATGCCTGTAATCCTAGCACTTTGGGAGGCTGAGGTGGGTGGATCACGTGAGGTCAAGAGTTCAAGACCAGCCTGACCAAAATGGAGAAACCCCATCTCTACTAAAAATACAAAATTAGCCGGGCGTGGTGGTGCATGCCTGTAATCCCAGCTACTCGGGAGGCTGACGCAGGGGAATCCCTTGAACCCAGGAGGTGGAGGTTGCGGTGAGCCGAGATCATGCCATTCCACTCCAGCCTGGGCAACAAGAGCGAAACTCCATTTCAAAAAAAACAAACAAACAAACAAAAAAAACATAGAAAATAAAAATACCACAGGCTGATCGTAGAACCCAACTGCTATTTTATGACAGTCTATGAAAAGTTGTTTATATATCACAAGTTATTGGCTTAAAATGCACTTCTTTGTTGCAATAATTGCATATTCACATGCAGTTGTAAGAAATAATAGATCTTTTTACACTTTGCTCAGTTATCACCAATGATAGTATTTTGCAAAATTATAGTACATCACACCAGGATATTGACATCATTACAGTCACACAAATGTACTTTTTGTTTGTTATTTTGAGACAGGATCTCACTATTTTCCCAGGCTGGTCTTGAATTCCTGGACTCAACTTACCCTTCTGCCTCAGACTCCTTGGTAGCTGGGATTACAGGCGTGTATTACCACGCCCAGCTCTACAGATATACTTTAAAAATGCAACCTCATAGTAAGCTAGGAGCTACTCAGTTAAATGATGTAACTTCCAGTATAAAACAGGCATAGAATACTATATGTCTATTATCATTTTAAGCGTTGCCTAAAAATGGCTCGGTTAGACCAAAAGCACCCATGGTGTACCTCTCTTGTTTATTTAATTCCCAGAGCGCAGTGCAGGCCTGGCATTGAGGGTCCGACTATGTATTTGTTGGATAAACGATTAAGAGGCTGAGAACATGCACATCCACACACAGTGCTTCTTAATGATATTTTCTTAGTATCAGTGTTTTGTTTGCTGAGTCTTGAGGCCTTAGTGGCTACTCTTGAAGTGCTTAGCAACATTTGTGAGCTTAGTCTAGCAAATGGAGTTAGACTTTGAAACAGGACTATGGAAATAGAAAGTATGCTAACATTGAGATATTTGTACCTTTCTTTCAAATTATGTTGTAGAAATCTTTGGAATCCAAGTCTTTCTGTTAAACAATATTCCAAGTGCCCTGTGAAAATTTTAGTTCTATTACAGTGGTCAAATGACTTCAGAAAATGTATGTCTTACCAGATTTAAAAAGCAGAGACAGTTCAAATTACTTCATTGACATTGAATTTTATTTAAATAAAATGTAGGTATCTCCAATTCTGACCCCCTCATGGAGGTCCATGAAATTAAATGACTTGTTTAATATTATACAAAATGTCTCACTGACTAGGACCTAGAAGTCATATTGACATTTAGATAATTTTGTTGCAAAATGAGTTTGACTGATAGCAGAGAAAATCAGGGAGACTAAAAATAATAAAACAAACGTTTTCTCTAGAGTCTAGATATATATTAAAAAGAACTCATCAACTTGGTGATTTGGAATTGGGGCTCTTTAGAAACCAGAGCAGTCATGCAATTATATGGTTAGCAGTGATGTGTAAACAGACTTAAGGTGTTTGACCCTTAATATCATCACCTTACATTTCTTTATCCAACTATAGTGATGTGCATATTATATTTAATAAATTATTTTTTGCTTGTATTTGTGCATGCATAGCTATTTTGATTTCTTTAAAGTTCTTATGGAGATAATATGACTTGAATATAATGCTTTGAGTCCAAGAAAATTGATGGACATATAAAACTAAGTTATAGCCAAAATTAATGCATAATTAAGATGTTTTCCCCAAACATCCTGAGTATCTTTTATATCAGAGGATATTAATGAAATCTTTAGAAAAGTGTCACAAATAATTCACAAAGGACTGTATCTCCAAAACTACTTAAAATTTCTGAATTAAAGACTGCTAAACACTATACACATGCTAGTATTGGTTCTAAACCTTAGACTAACCATTCAGATTAATAGAAAACTTTTTAAAATGTTAACTAATATGATGATTGGTTTGTATGGTAATCTCCACGATGCATATTCATTTAAAACTTTTTCAGAACAACTCAGTTATAGCCTGGTGTCTGAATAAAGGCACACAATGCAGTGTGATTTTGAATTTATTTAATTTGATGCTAGAAAGTTTTGATGGTTTAGGCAAGTATAATGAAGAATATAACCAAGCGGAAGAATGGGGGATGAGTCAGAAGCTTTAGTATTCAATCTTGGGCCCATCCTACTGTCTGCTTTTTGAATTAAGGGCTATATGTGTTTACTAAATTTTGACTAATCATCAATGGTAAATTTTAAAAACAACTTTATTTTTTCTTTGTTTTTGGTGTCTTCAACAAGAGCAAGAGCTCCTGAATGGCAGTGCCTATCTTATTCATTTTTGCATCTTGTTTCTGGCATATCGAAGGTGCTTGATAAATATTTTTTTATCTATTTTTCTGAAATTCCCTCTGTCTCATCTATTGGGCTTTTCGGTGTCTTGTGTTTTTTCCTTTACTTTTCCTGACCCCCTTAAAAATCTTCATCCTCTTCTTCTTCCTTTTTAAAGAAATTTTTAAAGAGATGGTGACTTGCTTTGTGGTCCAGGCTGGAGTATAGTAGCTTGATCATAGCTCACTGCAGCCTCAAACTCCTGGGCTCAAGTGATCCTCCAGCCTCAGCCTTTCAAGTAGCTGGGACTGCAGGTGTGTGCTGTCCTGCTCAGCTAATTTTTACTTTTATTTCATAGAGACAGGATCCTGCTGTGTTGCACAGGCTGGTCTTGAACTCATGGCCTCAAGCAGTCCTCCTTCCTTGGCCTCCCAAGGTGTTGGGATTACAGGCATGGGACACTGCACCTGGATTCTCTTGTTATTTTTGAATACACCTCTCTTTAGTTTGTTGGGTAACTGGTTCTGCTTAATGACTGGAGAACTCTTTGATGCTGGGCAACGAGATGTACGTATCTTTGTATTGAGAACACCAGGCACAATACTATGTAGATAAATGATGATAAGTATAACTTTTATATAAAGAACTATATATTAGGAGGCCTTTTCAGTACTTTTATTTATACTACTACAACACATTCTGTGATTTTAATTTAGAAATAGTTATACAAGCATTCTTTGTTAATCAGGGAAAAAACCTATGGATCCAATTGTACAAAAAGTGACCGTTTCCACAGATTTATTAACATATAAATGTATTTTTAAGTATTTAAACATAAAATGTTAATATATCCATATAGTTGTGAATGAGAAAGATTAAGTTCATATGTTTCTCTTTTACAATGTTTTTCTTTAAAAAATAATACACAGTTGGCCCTCCTATATCCATGGGTTTTGCATCTCTGGAGTCAACCAACTGTGGATTGAAAATACTCTGAAAAAAAAAAAAAAACCACAATGGATGGTTGTGTCTTTATTGAACATGTATAGGCTTGTTTCTTGTCATTATCCCCTGAAAAATACAGTCTAACAATTATTTATATAGAATTTACATTGTATTAGGAATTATAAGTAATCTAGAAATGATTTAAGATACACAGGAGGATGTAAGTAGGTTATATGCAAATACTATACCATTTTATATAAGGGACTTGAGCATCCATGGATTTTTGTCCTTTGGGGATCCTGCAACCAATCACCCAGGGATACTGAGAGATGACTATATTTAGCCTCAGCTATGCTAGGAAAACACTTTATACCTCCCCCTTCCTCTAAGTCAGAGAACTGTATTATCTTACTGTATCTAGGAGTCAGACAATTGTATCCCATAGGTGAAATTGGATTATGTAAACGTGAGTTGCCAAGGTTGTCCTGGATAAAATGTCCATTAGGAAAATGTTAAATGATTCTACTGGTAATTGTGTTTGAAGAAATGTAAGTAAGGGTGAATGGTGTTATCATTTCAAGAAAGAGAAAATCATGTATTTTGGAGTAGTATTTGTGAGTAGATAATTCATAGTTAATGATATTGAGAAGTTCCCAAGGCTGTGCTGGGAGAGTCAAGGGGTCTGTTTGGACAGAAAACATGGTTTCTGTCTTGTGTCTCTGCTTTGCCCCTTACCCATTGGCTTTGAACCGAGTCCAGTCCACGTTTGCCTTTAACCACGGATCAGTGGCACAAAAACAGCATAGAAATTATGTTATTACTTGAGCTTCAAGATAAGTCTACCTGCTGTAGAAGAAAAACTCAAAAGCAGGAATTTTTAAAGGAATCTTTCATACAATTGGTAATTTTGATGCCATTAATTTCATGTTTTAGTATCTCTCTCTCTCTCATTCTTTCTCTCTTTCCTTTCTCTCAATAAAGTGACATAATGGCTTTCATTTGTGCCTCCACTCAGAAAATGTGTCCCTATTGCTTGTGCAGGCCAGTTAGTTGGATTACCTCATAGATGACAAATAGGAGGTGAGATAGGATTGGGGTCAGTATTCATTCTCTTCATTTTGTCATGGTCCTTTATGCTTTGGCATTTCAAATTGATCACCAAAAGTAGCGAAAGGCAGCTGCTGTTTGATTCTTTGCTTGGTGAGAGTAGTAATACCCTTGTTTACTCTACTGGTAGAATTGCCTTGATAAGTATAACTTGGATGTACAAAGTCTAGTATTTATACAGAAATTGATCAACTGAAAATTCAATTTCTCTCTTGGAGAACTCACTCTTTAAAGATACTGCAGAGGCTGGGTACAGTGGCTCACACCTGTAATCTTGATACTTTGGAAGACCAAGGTGGGAGGATCGCTTGAGGCCAGGAGTTCAAGGCTGCAGTGAGCTGTGATTGTGCCACTGCATTCCAGGCTGAGCCATAGAGCGACACTTGACTCAAAAAAGAAAAAAAAAGGATGTTGCAGAATAGAATGCATACATAGCCATTTATCTGAAATTAAATTTGGTTTATATATTTTCAATATCCACCTCTGTAAAATAAACCTATCTTTAGACGTTTACTGGTATTTTTGGCAAGAAGTGATTCATATTGCCTCCCATTATTTTAGTATATGATTACTAGATTTCACTTAATTGGTTAGAATTTAATAAATTATCATTGTAATAAATTTGTAAAATGTAAACATAAATACATATACTGTTTGTAAATCTTTACATTATTAAGAGTATTACATTTTACTATAATTATTGTATGCTTTTGAGAAATTGCAAATTGTTCTTAACCTGAATTTTGCTGATCTCAGTTCATGGAACCACGTGACTCTTAAGGGTCAATAGGATTTTAGTGTTTATTTTCTAGCCCTGTGATCCTCAGTAAATTATTAAAGCCCTTTGTGCATTTTTCCTCATCTGTAAAATGGAGCTAAAAATGAGTACCTATATTATAGGAATTTTGAAAGGATTAAATCAGTTGGTAATAAAGGATCATCATTAAAGATAAAATGCTTAGATAAGAGCCTAGAAAGAGTAAGCATTCAATAGACTTTAGCTGTTATAATAGTTATTATTAATTTTTCTATTATGTAGAGATTGAAAACATTCTGTACATACACTTGATGCATTGTTATAGCAAATAAATACTATTTAATTTAAATTTAAGATCTGTTTTCCATGCCCACATATTAGCAGGGGACTAATTAATTGAATTAATGCAGAGGATGTTTATTGAATTTGTGCCATGGAATGTATTAGGCACTTTGGAGAGTACAAGATTGTTTCCCTCAAGAAACTTACTTTAAATGCTTAATGTAAGATAGTAGGAGAGATGGCATCTGAGTAAGTAGCTAAAATATGCCTAGCTGTGATACAGCAAATTGGTTTATTTGGGCTCAAGGAATCTTAACCCTTTGTACCAAATTGTACAACGAGCACATGTTTTTTGTTCTTGAACAGGTTTCTGCATGTTTGTACTGAGTTTGGTGAAGAAACATTATCGTCTGCAGTTTTATATGGTGTGTATTAACTATTATTCCTTAGTCATTATCTGTGATAAAAACCCTTAACTTTTTTTTTTCTGTAGTGAGAAGATACAGTCGAATCTGCTAGCTGTTGTTTTGCATGAATGTGAGGGATACTTGGATTTCAGATGACCATTAGATATAAACTATTAAAGTTGAGAAGTTTGTGAGGATTTTAAAATTTTAACTGTTTTCAAAGTTTACTAAAAACTTTTTCTTTGAATATTTTCAAATGGTGTAAAATTAAAGTTTTTGGGTTCCTTAAATTTGTAGAAATTTGAAGAATTTTCTTAGTCTCCTGGACAGTTACTATGTCTGAGAAACATCTACCATATTGTTCTATGAAAGTAACTATGTTTACTTGCACTTGGCGTGCGCATAAAGCAGCAGAGCATGTATTATCTTGGTGGTTATGGTTAGTCATAGAATTGTGTAATTCTTTTTGGCATAAGATATTTTGTTCAATGTACCAAAGCCTGTCTTAAGAAATGTATCACTTTACATATGAACTTTTTTTATTTTCTTAAACTGTAGCTAGTACAACTGTACAATGCAATGTAGTATTCAGATCTGTAAATTCATGTGATAGTGAGGCTTATTTTGGACTTGGAATATATTTTCTGTTCTTTATGCTTAGCTTTTCTCCATTAAGACATTCTGCTGAACATAATTGCTGGGAAATTGTTGTGTTTCTTGTATTTCTAATTTAAGGGAATCTGAGCATGAAGAGTAAAATTCTTAGTGAATTTTATATAGAAACAAGACAAGTAAAAATAGTAGAATATCCAGTGAAAATGTAAATGGCATCTATTGGAAAAAATTTAATTAATGCATTTTTAAGCAATCAGAGTAAAAGAGAATTGGATCTTTCAAGCAGATAAAAATAGAATAAAATAGAGCAACCAATATAATATGGTTGCTTAAATGGGAAACAGGTTTATTAAGAATAAATCAAAAGGCCAAGCGCCGATGGCTCATGCCTGTAATCGCAACACTTTGGGAGGCCAAGGCAGGCGGATACCTTGAGCCCAGGAGTTTGAGACCAGTCTGGGCAACCTGGCAATACCCCATTTCTACAAAGAATATGAAAATTAACCGGGCGTGGTGGCACACACCTGTAGTCCCAGCTACTGGGGAGGCTGAGGCAGGAGGATCACTTGAACCTGGGAGGTCAAGGCTGCAGTGAGCTGTGATCACACCACTGCACTCCAGCCTGGGTGACAGAGTGAGACCCTATCTCAAGGGTGGGGGTCCAGGGAGAATAAATCAAAATCTTAAGAATTTTTAAAAGTAATTTTATGAATTTCAATCAAAATCATAAGACTCGTACATGGAAACCATATTGATTATATTAAAAGTGGCCATCTCTCAGGCTAGATAGAATTGGCAAAACACAAAGGTCTTTAAAAATTTGAAATTGAATACTGTCATTGAACAGACCTGTCACGATCACCCTTCAAGTATGAAAGATAGAGTTTAAGGGCAATTGAACCCTGCTGGTTTGAATCATTTGAAGTTGGAAATAACTCTTTATGGGAAAAAGTTACCGTAATAAACTCTGAAAGAAAAGGAATTTTTTAGCATTTTGTTAATAACTGCAGAATGCAGCCAGAGTAAAATGTTCCCCTTTAAATGTTGTTAAACCAGCAACAGAAATCTCTCATCATCACTTAAATCTAATGATTCAAGATAATGGTTTATTTTTTATATGTTTTAAAAGTTAGTACTATATAATTAGAATTCTATTTATATATAAATTAAGGTTACTTTGTTAAATGTTTTCATTATTTTAAGGTTCCAGTAGGCAACAAAACAAACATAATTTACTAACAGTGTTTTTATTTTATATGACTCTAACTTGTACATTTTGACCAAAAGTCATGGTAGAAATTTGGGTTTCAAATCGCTGTTGCTTCTTCAGCTGCACTGATCAGTTGTGTTCACTAATTTTTGTATTGTTGGGCTATTAACAGTTCGCATGGACTCATGTCACTTTACTGATAACTGTCACTCAGTCACACCTTGTCATCCAAAATCTGTTTGAAGGCATGATATGGTAAGGCAACAGAATTATGCTGCTTTATAAGTATGTCATAGCACTTTTATAGTTCTTTAACGTTGGATAGTGTCTTACAGATTTCTACTAAAATGTACTGTTTGTTGTTCTTATATTCCATTAAACTATCTTACTGAGTTTTGCTTACTCTTTGACAACTAAAGACAAAATGCTTCATTAACAACTGGATACCATTCTTATTCAAGTTCCAAATATAGGAAGTTCCCATAAAAGACCCAAAAAATTAATTACATTTTCAGGTGTTAATAAATCCTAGTGTAACTTTTCACAAAAGACAGACTTTAAATATAATATTTATTAAGATATTATTTACATAGAATGCAAAAAAATATAAAACTTTGCCTACTAGTAACTACTGTGAAGAAATGCATGTTTTTCTAGGTGAAAGTTGGGTAGGTTTTCTACTTTGCTCCTGTGTAGGAGTGGGTTTCCAGATTGTAGAAGTTAATTGCTCTATGGCAGTGGCTTGCATATTCAGAAAGCATTTTTGTTAGGTAAAAATTATAAAACTTATTACTTAAAAATTAGTTGGAATGGAGAAAAAGCTTAAGATTAAAAAAAAATCTGACTGTATTTTTCCCCCACTCATTTAAAACTCATTAATTAAAATCTTTTACAGTTGATGGGTTTTGTCAAGATAAATTGTATTCCCTTGACAGCTTTATGTCTTTTTACCAAGGGTGTGGTTGTGTCTTTGTGTGTGTGTGTCTCTGTGTGTATGTGCGTGTGTAAAGTAATTGGAATCATTTTAAGATTGTCTTTCATGTATTGTACAGACTTTTCATTGATGGGGCAGTTACTGAAGTAAGTAGGTTCTGTACATTCAGTAGGGTTTACTGAAATCATAAGCTAAGATAGAATTAAAATTAATAATTGAGAATATGTATTAAGAGCTTGATATAAATTTATCAGATTATGTTCTGTCTAAAGAAATGACTCATTTTCATATTAAAAGGCTGGTTTTCTTAAGATTAGCTTTCAGTCTGCCTTTTATTTTTTATTGTAACATGTTCCTCATAAAACTAAAATGAAAACATCCATAACTGTAGAAATCAATAATTTAATATTTTCCTAGCATGCTAGTTTATTTTTAGATTTTGCTCTGTTTAAATTGGTAAGTGGGCAAATTTGGTTGATATTTATCATTTCTACTGTTTTGGCAAGTGTTATGTTCTGGGTAGGCTGCAGTGCAATCCAAAGGGTTATTCTGATGGTTCATTATGAATCATAACCTTTCCGAATATCTGCCACTTACTCAGGTGAACTTTTTTCTGCTGACTTTTTTTTTTTTTTTTAAAAACAGGTTCCTTGTTCCAATATCAAGTGTTATCTGCAATGACATAACTGCTTACCTTTTTGGATTTTTTTTTGGGAGAACTCCATTAATTAAGGTAATGGAAAAATTTTATAAGCAAGCCACTATGTAACCTTAAAGATTAGCCACTGGAGAACATTTCCAACAACTGTGCTGTTGTGCATTTTTTATTTTTGAGGTGCTTTGATTTTCCTTAGCTGCATGGTGCAGAAGCAGCAAACCATATTTCTCAGTACTTCCATCTGGGTTCTTCATCAGCTCTTCTGTTGGCTCCTCAGGAAGGGCATGACTCCATCAGTCTGCCTGCCTGCCTGCCTGCCTGCCTGCCTGCCTGCCTGCCTGCCTGCCTGCCTTCCTTCCTTCCTTCCTTCCTTCCTTCCTTCCTTCCTTCCTTCCTTCCTTCCTTCCTTCCTTCCCTCCTTCCCTCCCTCCCTCCCTCCCTCCCTTTTCATCTTCATTTTATCTTTATGTGGTTTCTTTTCTTTCCTTTTTTTTTTTGAAGATGGGGTCTTGCTTTGCCACCCAGGCTGGAGTACAGTGGTGCTACCATGGCTCACTGCAGCTTCCACCTCCCAGGCTCTAGCAATCTTCCCACCTCAGCCTCCCGAGTAGCTGGGGCTTCAGGTGCATGCCACCACACCCGGCTAATTTTTGTATTTTTGGTAGAGACAGAGTCTTGCCATGTTGTTCAGGCTTGTCCCAAACTCCTAGGCTCAAGCAGTCTGCCCATTTCAGCCTCCCAAAGTACTGGGATTAAAGGCGTGAGCCACCGCCCCTGGGCTCTGTGGTTTTTTCTCTCGGCCATTGGTGCAGTTCTTCTTTATCCTCCTTTCCAGCAAGCCTATACACAAGCCTTTTCCTTGACTCTCCTCTCCCTTCAACCTGTCGCCTTACCTGTCCCCTCCTTTACCAAACTTTCTCAAAGAAGAGATTATATAATACACCTTCACATCCTCATATCCATTTGTGTGACTTTTCATATCCAAACTCATACCAAAAGAAGATTTTGGGGCCCTACAATAAAATACTAATAAAATACAAGTAATAATGAAAGGGAAAGGAAAATACACATGAGTAGACCATGTTGTTTTGCTATAGAATTGGTTCTATTTATGGGCAATGGTAAAGAAGGAAATGAACTAAATTACATAGTTCTCATTTGGGAGAAGAAATAAACTAATTCTTCATGGAAATCAAATCATTTTCTAGAACTGATTTCTTCTAAAAGAGCTCTTCTTTATTTTTGTTTAGTTTTTATTCGTTTTTGGAGACAAAGTCTCGCCCTGTCACCCAGTCTGTAGTGCAGTGGCGCAATCTGGGTTCACTGCAACCTCCGCCTCCTGGGTTCAAGTGATTCTCCTGCCTCAGCCTCCCAAGTATCTGGGATTACAGGCGGCTGCCACCATGCCTGGTTAATTTTAGTATTTTTAGTAGAGACAGGGTTTCACCATGTTGGCCAGGCTGGTCTAGAACTCCTGACCTCGAATGATCTACCTACCTCGGCCTCTGAAAGTGCTGGGATTACAGGCGTGAGCCACCACACCCGGCCTAAAAGAGCTTTTCATGTTGGAGTTTCAGATAAGATTCACACATTTCACATTATTGGGCAAAGTTTTTAATAATGTTCTCACAGACATATTATTACCTGGCTGTTTTGATATTGTTATATGAATGCAGTTTTGGAAGGACTGAGACAATTGTTCAGATATAAAGCCTTCTGTTTGTTCAGAGTGGTATGAGGGTAGTTTAGTATTACCAGAGGAATTTGTGGACTGCCTGTTCTTCCAAAAACCTCTGTAAACTCTTCCCCTCTTGGGGAGGAGCTCACAGAGAGCACCTGCTGAAAGCATCAGCACACAGAGAGTGTTGGGCTGAGCTGTATAAGGATACTGGTAAGCAAGCTGTATATTTTTAAAACGTTTCTAAAGCTGCTCCAGAGTTTCTAAAGCTTGAATACATGATTTACGTATTCAAGAGTTCTACCCAGACTGAGAAGTTTTCGGCTTGGGAAGCTGTATTAGTTCATTCTCACACTGCTATAAAGAAATGCCAGAGCTTTAATTGGCTTATGGTTCTGCAAGCTGTACAGGAAGCATGGCTGGGGAGGCCTCAGGAAACTTATGATCTTGGCGGAAGGGGAAGCAGGCACATCTTATATGGTCAGAGCAGGAGGAAGAGGGAGAGTGAGGAGGTGCCACAGACTTTTCAACAACCAGATATCATGAGAACTCATGGGACAGCAATAGGGGGATGGTGCTTAACCATTAGAAACCCCCTCCCTGACCCAGTCACTTCCCACCAGGCCCCACCTCCGACACTGAGGATTACAAGTGGACGTGACATTTGGGTGGAGACACAGATCCAAACCATATCAGAAGCCTTCAAAAAGGCTGTTATAGCTGTGGAAGAATATTAGCAACTGATTTTGAACACAGCCTTCTAGTGAATTTATCAGGCTGGATTAATTGTATAATATACTTAGATAATTGAACAGTTAACCCCTAAATCGATATGATATGCATCAATTTAATTTGATAAGCTATCTTTACAATAATCAGCAGGCACTTTTGAATTTGAGTCTGCTCCTACTTCATGGCAGTGATAGTGAATTACCCTAGGAGAAGGTGTGTCTGTCCCTTCTCTGTGGCAGAATTGTTATCAGATTTGTCAAGAAACCATTTCTGCCAACTGTTTTGGTTTGGGGCTTTATGAATATCAGGACAAGAAGTCTATGAAGAGCTCCTATAGGTTAACCCATAACCCATTTTAATACTTCAGAGACTTTATTCTGATATTTGGTTTCTGTCCCTCATTAATGACCTGATGACCAAATCCTCCCACACATCACAGTCTTTATCTCCCCTGAGCAACAACTTTCACTTTTTGCTCCTGAATCTTTTCCTCCTGCCCCAACACCACTAACTTCTAGATTTTTTTCCAGATTTCTTTCCATGAATGGTCCATTGACTGGGCAGCAATAGCCTGAATCCAACACAAACAATATCTCTTCTTTGAAGTGCAGCATGTTCCTTTCTTCTTGGAAATGGACATAGATTGTGAAAAAAGAGAGGATATGTCAATACTTGAGCAAATACAGTATCTGGGGCTCTGGAGTATTTTGCCATATCAGAAGGAAGTCTGTGTGTATATAGCATATTAGGAATATGTGAAAATTATATGTGCTAAAATGTCCATGTTTTGTTGTACTGATTCTATTTTTGGCCAATAGCAGGTCAATACTGACTGTGTGTACTTGGAATGAATACGTCTCATTCTTATTCCAAGAACTTACACCAACTATTATCAGGTTTTATATTAGCATAAGAGTCATGGGACAGTTATTTTAGTATAGAGTTTATACTCTTTTGAGAGACAGAACAAATTTAGACCATTTAACATGAACAAACACATATTCACAGCATTTCAAATATTTGAGGGCCTACTATGTGTTTAAATATTATTAGAGAGATTTTCACTAGTAAATCAAGATCAGAGAAAAGGAAAAAGGGTTTTGAACTATTCCAATAAGAGAAAAAGTAAGGAGAGATGTACAAGTTATTGAGGAAATAGTTTATATATATATATATATATATATTGTGAGTTTTGTGAGTGCAGTAAAGCTTTTTAATTTTATTTGCCCTTTTTTAGTTGTCTCCTAAAAAGACTTGGGAAGGATTCATTGGTGGTTTCTTTTCCACAGTTGTGTTTGGATTCATTGTGAGTATTACTAAGATTTTTATTTTGTATACATTTCGAAATATGATACCAAGCTTACTGGTCTAATTTTAAACCTAGAAAAATTAAACCACAAAATGCTAATAATATATTTATTGAAACCTACTGAAAAGAACCAGTTCTGTACCTCAGCAGCCCTTATCCTGGCTACATATAGAATCACCTGAGAAGCTTAAACAAAATCTATGTCTCAGCCTTATCCCAGGCCAGTTAACACCCCCAGGTAATTCTAATGGCCATCCATGCTGTCTTGCTGACTTGCTGACTTACTGTTGTGCTGTTGTGTTTGGTAGTTTCTAACAGCTATTCTGCCTTAGGCGGGGCACAAGTACTGGGACAGGTGGTGGCCTTGTGTAATAGCAGAGGATGCAAATACTATTGAAAAGCTCTGCCTTCTTAAACACATGGTGGCCACTTGGCTCAGTGGGTGGTTACTGTTGTGGGCCCAACTTGCAGAAACAGTCTAACTATAAACTATTAATGTTTGCTTTTAGCATGTTAAATAGCTATTTTTCATGTTTTACAAATTAGTTTACAGTTATAGGATTTAGATTTTTATTAAAAGGTGTCTAGTGAGAATGAGAGTATAGTACCATAGCTGGATATAAGATAAATGTACAAAAAAGTACTGTCAGGAAGCTTTACTTTTCCTAGTTTCTGACAGTTGTGGTTACATTCTGTATCCAAATCTAGAGTACCTAGTAACAACATGAAGCCTGGAGAGAGTGAATATACAAATAAATGGAAATATGCCATGATCCTGGAAACCACCAGAATTCCTCTATTTAATTTATAAATTTAGTTCATTTGCAATGAAAATTTTAATAAAATGTGATAAAATTATTCCAGTGTTTTTGTGGTAGAATATTGATGAGATAATAATGGACAGATAGAAGAATGCAAAAGGATCCAATCTCATCCAATGTTTTTACATTACAAAGCGAGAATAATTAAACATTATGAAGCTAAATAGTGTAAGAATTTGTTATTATCAAAGACTAACTTGAAAATACCACAGGAATAGCCATATCATTGGAAGAAAAGTAGGAGCTACCCCATAAGCATGTAATGCATGACAAAATAATGAGGAAGGAAATTCCACATCTATATGAAATTATATATATATAATATATATAATAATATGTAATATATATAATATATATTTTATATATATAAAATAAACTGGTTGTTTGGAAGCAAAATCAGTTTATATTCATTCCTAGTGTCTTGAATTTCTATTACTCATTCTCGAGCAGAATAATAGGGTGAATGGCTGCAAGAAAAGGAGAATAAGCTGTTGTCTAGCAATTTAAATTTATAACAGGATATCTTATTTTATGTATCTTATTTCCAAGGCTGTGGACAGCTAGTTTTAAAAATTGCAATGGTGTGGCCAGGGAAAGAATAATTTAGTCAAAGTTTTCTGGGTTGGCTAAGAACAATGGTGTTTTTAACCTGTACTATTTTGTACTATTTTATTGTAATTTTGAATTACTGGTTAATTATTAACTGATGAAATTAATAGAAGCTTGTGTGCAGTATACTTCAGTTCTTTATTCTCCTGTACCGTATAATTGTGATTATGCAGAGATTACAATCTTATTGATTTCAAAAAAACTTTTTTTTTCTAAAGGTCTTTTAAGTCTTTTACTAGGATAATTATGACCATTTAACTTTGAAAATACATAGCAAAATATTAAGACAAAGAAATTCTGGCATTCTATCTCTGGCCTTTCTGATGTATAACTTAAAAGATATATGTTTAGTCAATGTGTTATGAACTTTTGCTTTGTTTTTTGTTTTGTTTTGTTTTGTTTTTAATATCAGGCTGCCTATGTGTTATCCAAATACCAGTACTTTGTCTGCCCAGTGGAATACCGAAGTGATGTAAACTCCTTCGTGACAGAATGTGAGCCCTCAGAACTTTTCCAGCTTCAGACTTACTCACTTCCACCCTTTCTAAAGGCAGTCTTGAGACAGGTACAGTAAAAGTTCAAGATAAACATGGTTAGAGATCTTCCACTCTGAAGATTAAGCTTCCTTTATTATTTATTTATTTATTTAATTAATTTATTGTTGTTTTGAGACAGAGTTTCCCTCTGTTGCCCAGGCTGGAGTGTAGTGGCGTAATCTCAACTTACTGCAACCTTTGCTCAAGTGATTCTTAGGCCTCAGCCTCCTGAGTAGCTGGGATTACAGGCGCTCGCCACCACATCTCGCTAAATTTTGTATTTTAAGTAGAGACGGGTGTTGCTATGTTGGCCAATCTGGTCTCAAACTCCTGGTCTCAAGTGATCCGCCTGCTTCGGCTTCCCAAGGTGCTGGGATTACAAGCATGAGCCATTGTGCCTGGCCTGAAGATTAATTAAGCTTTCTTTAAAAGTGGGATTCAGATTTGTACAAGAAACTGATTTCTGTAGAATTTTTAATTCTTTGATATACCAGTGGTTTTAGTGTTAGCTTAAATCAAATGGATGAGAACGGGTTACAAATCAAATGGATCAAATGGTTTAGAATGTGTTTCTCATATCACTGACATCAGTTGACACAATTTAAAACTTAAAATTCACCAGTTTACCGAGTCCTTGATTTTTAGAGGACATTTATTATGGACAGAAAGTTGCTGCTTCTACAAATCAGTTTTCCTTCCAAATACAGTGCCTTCCTTGAAAGGTATCTTGGAGGCCTTACACTAGAGGATGTTGACATGCCCTCCAGTGGAACCCTCCTGATCTGTGTCATCAGGTCTGGTGAGTGGCTGGTTAAAGTGAGGAATCAAATAATAGCATGTATGTCTGTATCTTTGTGTGCACACATGTACAGCTTTGTATCTGAATCATTTTACATAAAATCCATAATTTTTGAGGAGTAGCTTAACAAATTATTTCTCTCTGAGTGCTCAGTACATGGTTTCCAAGAACTTTTTCAATGTCCAAGCCATCTGTTACCTGCTATAAAACTTTTTATACTGCTAGTGTTTGATTAGGAGCAAGGCTATTTATTGCTTTGAGAACAGGTCAAAAAATGGATGTCTCAGCCGGGCACATTGGCTTATGCCTGTAATCCCAACACTTTGGGAGGCCAAGGCAGGTGGATCACCTGATGCCAGGAGTTCCAGACCAGCCTGACCAAAAGGTGAAACCCATGTCTACTAAACATAAAAAATTAGCCAGTCGTGGTGGCATACACCTGTAATTCCAGCTACTTTGGGAAGCTGAGGCAGGAGAATCACTTGAACCTGGGAGGCGGAGGTTGCGGTGAGCCGAGATTGCACCATTGCACTCTAGCCTGGGCAACAAGAGTGAAACTCTGCCTCAAAAAAAAAAAAAAAAAATTGGTGCCTCAGACATCTTTCTTCAACCAAAATGGGTGCATTTTGCACTGTCTATAAATTGTAGTTTCAGATTATTTAAAAAGGAGCAAGAACTACAAATTTGCAAAATAATTTGACTACAAAATTCTTCTCAGCCTTTATGATTGTCTCCCCAAATCTTTAGTGATTGTCTCACTGATGCTCATTTTGATAATAATCTTTAAGCAACTTATTTTTGTGTTTTTCCACAGCATTCATCTTAATTTTAGAGAAAAGTCCAACTTTTCCCTTATTTTATCATATAAAATTAAGGTGAAATAAAATACAATATTAAATTATATAATTACAGCAACAAAGCATTACTAGTTTAAAAAAATTTGGAAAATAACACAGCTGATTCTTTGTAAGAAGTAAAGTTCCTAGACAACCTGGAAGGTAGACTACCACGCTGCAAGATTTCAGTGTGCCAGTTGCCTGTCATTATTCTTACAGAGAGAAGGGAAATTGCTGGCTAAGTAGAGGATGGTACAGAAGGCTTAAATAGACTTTTCTTCCTTGATCCTTAAAGTTTGAAAAATTAACAAAAATGTGGTGCGTGCTTTGACTTACTATTTACACAATGGTTCTTAGATCAGGTGGTATGCTCAAATACAATTTCAGTGAAATTAGCCCCTCTCCTCCCCTTCTTTCTCCTCTTTAGGAAAGAGTGAGCTTGTACCCTTTCCAGATCCACAGCATTGCACTGTCAACCTTTGCATCTTTAATTGGCCCATTTGGAGGCTTCTTTGCTAGTGGATTCAAAAGAGCCTTCAAAATCAAGGTGTGTGTTTAGATTCTTTGTTATATTATTAGAGAATATAATTAGAGAATGTAACCTAGTTGGAATTTGGTCCGCTCATGATCTACATTAAGCCCCTAGGCCACAACTTTTATATCCTATTTGTTTCGACCCCACAGAAATGCTGCCACGTTGATCTGAATGTATTCTTTCTTTTTAGGTTTGTCATACCATGTTAATACATTTTAAGTGTCATGTCAGCTTCCTTTATAGACATGGCATGTGTCCTTTAGTGTTGGAATAGACCCAGAATCTTGGTCTTTCAAGTGCTCACCCAAGAATCCAGCCGTGAATCATCTAAAGTTTAGTGTTTTACTACAGTCTCACTTGAAGGGACATGCAGAAGAACCTTTGGCTATGTAACTGTCCATTCTGCTAAGTCAGGTGTCATCACACTCTTTCTGTAAAGGGCAAACAATACATTTATTAGGATGTGCAGACCATATATTCTATCAAAGCTTCTCAACCCTGAACCCTGCTGTTACAGTGAGAAAGCCCCCCGTGGACAATATGTCAATGAATGGGCATGGCTGGATTTAATAAAACTTTATTTATAAAAATAGGTTGTGGCCTGGATCTGATCTGTGGGACATACTTTTCTGACCCCTGTTCCAGAGACCTAAAATTATCCCTGTGTATTAGGTTAGATCATCATAAAGTGACATGTTATCTCAGCAATTTCATCTCAGCTTCCCTCACATGGCTGAGGCACCATCTGGGGTTAGAAAGTGGCTATGGAAGTTGGGGTGGTCAGGGAAAGCCTTTCTGAGGAGGTGGCACTTAAGTAGAGATTTGAGAAAAGAACTCCTCCAGAGAAAACTAAGAAGAGAGTTCCAGAGTGTACAGAGGAGTGGAAGAGGTTAATTAGCCTGTTAGAAGGTGAGCAAGAACAGTGTGGCTGTGGTTGAGAGTAGGAGATGAGACCGCAGAGTTTGGTGGGACCAGATCACACGCGGCCTACGGGGTCAGGGAATAAGTGAACTCAGCGAGCATTTGCCAGTGGGAAGCTACTATGTAAGGTGCAATGCAGTATACAAAAATATACAAGATGTTGTTCCTGTTCTAAAGATGCTCACCACCTACTAGGGCAGACAATACACTTCCCCAGAGAACTACAGCAACAGCTGTGCAGGATAAGTATCTTGCGAAGGCTGTAATAGCAGAGTGGCATTGAGTTACTGTGGCTCTTTTATGCTTTGACTAGTAAGGAAGAGAAAGAGAGAAATGGGTTGGCAAAAATTAACCAAAGACTTTTTCAGTAATTATTTTAAAAAGAAAAATGTTATATTTAGAATGGTATTTTCTTTAATGGTCTCCAATCCAAGATTTTTTGTTAAATGGTGAGTTTTTTTTGCATGTTGGAAACCAAACAGCTATTGCTGTTGTAGTTTAGATATTTTTAGGGTGCCTGAGTGAACTAGAAGAGCAGTTAGTCATGTCCATTTCCTGGGCACCCAGACATGTGAATCTACCTGTAAAGGGTCAGTTTGCAGAGGCTTACTACCATTCCCTCAGTGTGGCCATTTAATGGACTAATGTGTCCCATATGGGCTCACTGTAATTTTATTTTTTACTCTAACACTTAAAAAAAGAAGAAGAAATGTTTATCATAGTAGTAAAATGTTTATTTCAGAGTAAGAACTATTAGGATAAACAAGTTAGAACCAGTTGTACATCTTTTAGCAGCACTAAAATAGCTCCCCAAACAGCTTGTGGTTAAAAAGAAAGCTAGGCTGTAACAAAATTAGATTAGTAATAGCTAAGATAATTTTTATTTAGAAAAAGTTTTATTAACGAAAAAAAGTAAGTGCTAGATTTAATTAACGTTTGATGAATGAATGCTGTGGGTCAATTCAGAAATCATTCTAAAAGAAGCATGTATTTGGAAGATGTGGTTTTAATCTGCTGGATGTGTTCTAATAAGTTTTTATTTAGTGAAAAAAATCCAATAGTAATGTATTTTCGTTAGAGTGAGTCCATGACGCCAAAGAGACACAGATAGGAATTTTATAGCAGGTGATTTTTTGAAAATTTGCTAATATATTTGTTTGTTTCTAAAGGATTTTGCAAATACCATTCCTGGACATGGTGGGATAATGGACAGATTTGATTGTCAGTATTTGATGGCAACTTTTGTACATGTGTACATCACAAGTTTTATAAGGTACTTTTACACTTGAGACATTTTTTAGATGATTTCTTTGAGTTCTCATTTCCATCAACATTAGTTTGAGTAAGTTAACTTTTTCCGTCAATGGTAATCTACAATATTAAAGTGAATGGTGGCCCCTGGAATTAGAGTCTTGAGCAAGATGGTTAACTTGTAATTGTTTTACCTACATTTGAACAACTTAAAAAAAGATAGTATTTGTCATGGTCCTGGACCACATTGAAGACCCAATTAATGTGGATGGTATAGGATTTGAAACTTGAGGAGATTTGATTTCTCAACTGTGGGCATTGCAATGATCATGAATACTAAGAGTTAAAAAGGGAGATAACGAAATGCATCCAGTCTACCAATTATTACTTGAGTGCCTGCCATATTGTAGAATGTTCTAGGGACAAATATGGCAGAGAACAAAACAAACCAAATCTCTGCCCCCATAGCTACTTGTTTGGAAGTTGAAGAAAGAATGATGAGAAAGAGACAATAAACAAATAAATATAGTTTGTTAGATGGTTGTAAGTGTCACACAGAAAAATAAAGCAGGCCGAGGGGATCATGCCTGTGTGTGTAGGGGCTGGCTGGTGGATGGGTGGATGAATATTGCCATTTTAGAAAGGGTGGTTTATTCTTGTTATTAAACCTTAATGTTTTGGATCTGCCTTGAAATACCAGTGTGAGTGTGAAGGCTTAACATCAACTGCATGTTAACTTTATTTTCTGTGGTCTCTACTGGGGGCCCAGAAGGCAGAATGCTTATTAATAGTACCTGAGCTGTAGAAAACATGGATTTCCTTCATAGTACTTGGAAGGAAATTCATATTTAGCAATCCCTAAATACACATTTTAAATATGTACCACAGTAGTGTGAGAATTTTTATATTAACTATTTTTGAGAGACAGTCCTGATAGCGAGTTTATCAATTTCATTAATCTTTTCAAAAATATCAACTCCAGGCTTTGTTAATTTTCTCTACTGTAAATTTTTTACCTCATTGATTTCTCCTCTCATCTTTCATTTCTCTGCCTTTTTTAAATGTTCAATATGCTGTTCTTTTTTTAATTCTGGAGATAAGCTTAGATTATTGATTTTTAGCCTTCTTATCTAATTTATCCATTGAAGACTATTAAGTATCACTTTATCCTCTTCCTGCAAGTTGTGATATTTGTATTTTCATTATTTACATGTTTTCTGATTTCCAGTATTATATCTTCTTTAACACATGGGTTATTTAGAAGCATATTCATTAGTTTTCAAACAAATGGAGATTTTTTCACTTTCCTCCCTTAATTCCACTGTGGTCGGAAAACATACTCTATGATTTGAGTATTTTATAATTTTTGAGATCTATTCTGTGGTACAGCATGTTATCTATTCTAGTACATGCTCCATGGGCAAAGGTGTATTCTGTAGTTTTGGGTTGTAGTTTTGTCTGTGTCAGTTAGGTGAGGTTTAATTAAATCTTCTGTACTGATTTTTGTTTATTTGTTTTTGTGTTTGTTTGGTCCGCTTGTTCTATCAGTTACTAAGAGAGCTTTGTTAAAGTCTCTCATTGTGATTGTAAATGTATTTTTTTATTTGTAGTTCTACCAATTTTTGGTTTATATATTTTGAGGTTGTATTAGGTATGTACAAATTTAGGATTGTCATATCTCTCCATTGAATTGATCCTTTTGTCATTATATAATGTCTGTCTTTACTGCTTGCCTTAAAGCGTACTGTGTTGAATATTAAAATAGCAATATCAGCTTTCTTTTGGTCAGTGTTTGCATGTTATTTCTTTGTCTCTCCTTTTATTTTTAACATTCCCTTTTCCTTATATTTAATGTGTTTCTTTTTTCTAGTAAGCATATAGCTGATTTTTTTCCCTGTTTTATTTATAAGACAGTTGATAATCTTTATCCTTTTAATGGGACTATTTAACTTATTTGCATATTATTTATTGATCTATTTGGGTATTAGTAATTAGTGGTTAAATCCTTAAAACTTTGTTTTCAGAATATGGCAGCTTTTTAGGGCATTAACTCATATGCTTTCTTTAAAAAAAAAATGCTGTCCTCTCAGTAGGGAGGTGTCATGCTGAGCCATGTTGTCCACCATTTGAAAGCAGCTATTTAGACTGTTAGAAGACACTGAGAGTGCCAGGATGCAGCTAGCTGGGAGCACCTGCTGACACAATTTTGCATTTAGCTGAACTTGCTAAAGCAGCCTTCCTTTTCTCTGTTGGTCTCTACTTGGGGTTTATGCTGTGAAGTTGCTGACTCTTTTAAAGAAATGAAATAAGGCGAACAGTGTCCTGACCTGAGTGTGAAAGTTTTTTGGCAGATGAGTTGAGCCACGTGCATGAAGATGACCCTTGGTGGGATGGCTCATCTGGGCTCTTGTGCAATTTGTTAAGTCAAAGATTTTCAGAGTAAATAGTTCCTCTGCTCATCCTCATTGTGGTAACACTAAATAGCAAACATTTCTTTGTTGCTGGGATTTCTACTTTCTATAATTCAATGTGAACAATCTTTACTGTAAGGCATACATTATTTACCCACATAAATGTCTTTCTTAGAATTCTATGCCATCTCTATACATGACTTGTATGTTGCTTTTTCCCATTGGATTTTAAAGCAGATCTGCTTTTATTTTGTTTTTTATATTGGAGTTCACCTAGGACTGTCTTTGAACAAAGTCCACGGCACCTGTATCACTGGTAAGGGGCTTCAGTGCTAGGCTCAGGACTTTTGTGTTCTGACTCTGAATATTCATAACTCCCTGGAGATATTTTTCAACAAAATACCTTTCATCATCTGAAGTTTCTTGGAAGTTAAAAATTTCAATTATATTTTCATGCCCTCTTTTTGGTTTGTCCTATGTTCACCAGGCTCCTTTCCTTACAGAATAGTTTTTGTGTCTCATTCAATCTCAAGATTTGCCATTTATCCCCACCTTTAACTTTGGTTGCCCTTTCAAGAGCTTTTGTAGAACTTAGATCTGCACCCCTTCAATTGACTTACATTGCTCTTGTGTTTTGTGTTTGTGCATTCTTTCTCCCTCTCTGCTGTAACCCTTGACACTAACATTGCACATTAAAGTGAGCTATTATCAAGAGCTATTTTAATTCTGTAAAGATTCCTACTCTACACTTAAAGGAATGGTTTGTTTTAAATTGGAGGTATGTGCTTCACTTATCCCTATTAAAATAACACGAACTTGTCTTCTTTGCCTTTTATCATTAGGGGCCCAAATCCCAGCAAAGTGCTACAGCAGTTGTTGGTGCTTCAACCTGAACAGCAGTTAAATATATATAAAACCCTGAAGACTCATCTCATTGAGAAAGGAATCCTACAACCCACCTTGAAGGTATAACTGGATCCAGAGAGGGAAGGACTGACAAGAAGGAATTATTCAGAAAAACACTGACAGATGTTTTATAAATTGTACAGAAAAATAGTTAAAAATGCAATAGGTTGAAGTTTTGGAGATATGTTTCTCTCTGAAATTACTGTGAATATTTAACAAACACTTACTTGATCTATGTTATGAAATAAGTAGCAAATTGCCAGCAAAATGTCTTGTACCTTTTCTAAAGTGTATTTTCTGATGTGAACTTCCTTCCCCTTACTTGCTAGGTTTCATAATTTAAAAGACTGGTATTTAAAAGAGTCAAACACTATAAAATGAGTAAGTTGACGATGTTTTAAGATTGCACCTGGCAGTGTGCCTTTTTGCACAAATATTTACTTTTGCACTTGGAGCTGCTTTTAATTTTAGCAAAATGTTTTATGCAAGGCACAATAGGAAGTCAGTTCTCCTGCACTTCCTCCTCATGTAGTCTGGAGTACTTTCTAAAGGGCTTAGTTGGATTTAAAAAAAAAAAAAAAAGATTGTCTACTTTTCAAAGAAGTAACCATTTGCCAGGGGAAAACATTCTGCTTTTAGGTAGTTTCAAAATTCAGGGGAGGGAGCCTGAAATTTTTGCCATGATTGGTTTGTTAGAAAGAGCAGGCATCAGACTACTTCTGATAAAATTGTTTGGAAGGTCACGACCTCGCAAAAACTTTTCAAGAGCAACAAGGAAGAATTCTGCTGTGAAGAACACAGTGTACGGATCCTCCGCATATTATCTCAACAGAGGACAGTAGCTCAGGAGGCAGCTTCAAACGGTGACCTGTGGCCTGGGCCATCTCTTCGTCATGTGCTTCACTTTTCCCTGTTTCCCTGTGAACTGGCTTCCATGGTTCTGTAGGGTAGTGAGTCGGGGTTGTGGCTGCAGCAGAGCAGGAGATGCTTGCCCGAGTGGGAGCAACCCACCCCCGTGTCCCCAATGCCTCACTCCTGGCTTCTAGTGCAGCCCTTTGTAGACTCACCTCGCAAGAAGGAAGATCTGCCTGGAGACCTGATCCCAGTCCAGCTTTTTGACCATAGGTCATCTTTGTCCCCTTGCTCCTTTGCATCATGTCATAAAATTTGAGGATATCAGCTGATTATTTTTTCTTCCAAGAATGAAAATCAAGCAGAATTGATTCCTACACGAAAAAAAAGCACACGAATGCCAAACCTTTCCTTTGGTGGACTGGACACTAACCAGATGAGAGTAAATTTCTTATCCGTGGACGTATGTAAGCTACTGCTGCTGTGTGCTCTCCACAGCCATATTTATTGTATTAAACAATCAGCACTAAACCTTCAAAAATTGCCCAGTGTTCCTAGTTAAATGTTCAGAGGGGAGAAATAGATATATTTTAAATAATGTTTTGCTAATGAAAAGAGTAAATATTTTTGTTTAAATCAGCAAAAACTTTCCATTATTTTATATTTCCGTCTACTATACCTAAAACAAAAGATTGCCGTTATACCTGGGTTCCACTGATGCAGTCAGCCAGCACCTCCTCACATGCACACATGATTAGACATAGGTGCACTCGGTACCAAGAGTCCATTTTATGGTCCAGCATATACTCCATTGATTCATCATCACTGCATGTGTTCAGCCAGTGTATCTCACACTATCCATACAAATCTAAAATTGATACTGGAAATGTTATTATAGGAGGCAGTGATCGCATTTAAAATCAGGCCACCTACAAGTTTAATTTTCAACATCTCATGTTTTTATTTGTCCCATTACAGCCTCAAATGTTGGTCATAAAAAAAATTTAGGCTACCAAAGTTTAAAGAATAAAATGAAAATTTTATAAGAACTTACATTAAAAACTCAGTAGTTTGCATGAGTAAGAACTCCTTGAGATACACAGATCCCCCCACATTTGTATTTAAAATAATTGGTGAGGCATTGAAATCCAGAATTATAAGAAAGCATTACTGAATATGTGTGTTATAAAATCAATATTATTATAAACAAAATAGGAAGCTAGAAATATTTGGGATCACAGTAATAGCTTTTCTCAAATATACTTTTAGAATTGAATGTACATTATCCTATATGTAAAAAAGCAAATTATTAATTTTAATGGAGCTCTCGATTGACCTTTTTAGCATACTTTTATAGCATGTATATTAAAATAGAATATATTTTAGCAAAAGATTGCCATAAAACCCTGACTTGGCTCATTTTGATATTTGCACTGTGAAGAGGGCTTAAATTCCAATGTAGCAATGTGGTGGCAGACAAATGAAAAACTAGGAAGTTCTTTCACAGTAATGCCTAGTTGTTCCAAATTTGCTATATTTGGAGGTGCTCTACTGGTACTTCCTGCTTGACTCTCTGACCTGTGGGATGCACATTCTTCCTCAGCGCTTTTTCCTTGTTGTGGTGACGTACATTCACTATCTGAGAGTGAAAGACCACACACACCCCTCTTTTTAAAATTATTGTATCTCTTCCTTTTCACTTTGGTTTGAACAAAGATAGTGTCACCTTGTTCCGTGAAAAAGAAAAAGCATAAACAGTGTATATTTAGGGTATATGGGTGATAGCTTATGATGTGTGTCAATCAGTTCTCTGAATCTTTTACTGAAACTGAGACAGGAAAATAAAACTGAAACAAATCATATTTTGACTTTGTTGTGCCATTTTCTCATTGGAGAAGAAATATTCAACCAGTGTTTACAAAATAATGATGGGTATATGTAAGTATTATATCGTGTCTATTCCATCACCAGCACCTACAGTGAAATCTTCAGGGCTGGGGATAAAATAAGTTCTGGTGATTACCAAACATCTGTATTTGTTGAGAGGCAATGTCCTCTTAATACAAAGAGTACTGAACTTTTATGGTATTAGCACAGTTTGTAATTACCTGTGTATTTTTGTGAATCTCTGAATGATGTGTGCCCCTTACTAGAGCTTTAAGCTATGCAGAGGCCAGATGAAGTCTGTTTGGGTTGGCCGCTGCATACCCAGTGTCTGGCATGATGCCTGCTCTCTGTAGGCCCTCCAGCTTCTGAAATGCACAAGCTTGGAGCTTGGTCTAAAGACCCAGCTGTACACATTGCCTCTTGTCTCTAGGGCATCTCCTGTCCCCTTCCCCAGACCTTTTATTTTGCAGAGTTCTAAGGTGGGCCTCATTATTCCTAGCCAATAGGGTTGTTTTAAGGATTCAGTGAAAACTCATATTGTCCAGCATTAAGTAGCTGATTAGTAATTCTTAAGTTTCCTTCCCTCCTTCCTGTCTGCTCCTCTTCCATTGCCTGTCTGCAGTGGGAAACGACAGGTTATAGGACTGAGCAGAAAACTAACCACCGCTTTGGCCATGTCTGCTTTAGGTGGTGGGTAACGGAAGTGTTCCATGAATGATAGACAAACCGTTGATCCACTTCAGCAAACCCGAAATGTCTACCTGACCCAGCACTGTGCTTTGTTCTCGCATGAAGAAAAACCTTAGAACTAGTAGTTTTCTGCCTAGTCTTCAGGTCAGACAGGTACAGAAGTAATGTCATTTGAAGTGGATATTGATCAGAGTGATGACAGATACATAAACCAGGTGTGTGGGAACACAGGTGACCACCGTCTGACCTCCATAAGACCTGTCTTTCCTGACCATAGTCCATAGCCAGATCTTTCTGCCCCCCTCTTGAAACTTACAAAGTTTAAAATTCATTCCTTGAAGAGGGGCTGTAAAGATCTGGGAATCTTTAGTAGCTGCAAAGAAAAATCAGGTCTAGATAATTTAACCAAAATCAGAAGCCATTCCTACCTTAATCTCATCGTTTTCCTGTACAGAAACGGAGAACCTTCTTAAATCATCAGATAGGCATCAATAATGATTTAGTAAAAGTTGATGAATGGAACATTTCCTGATGATGGGCAAAGTGAGTTTCCAGAAGGAATGGAGAGAATCCAGCCTGTTCTCTACTGTGTACAAAAGATAGGGCTGGTGAAGCAAGAGCCTTGTCACTCAAGAGAGCGAAAGAATTATTGAGGGAGAGTGCACCCTAAGGATCGCATTGTCCTCTAGTGGAAGTGAAATTTCAAACTGCTCTCTCTCAACTTGTAACATGAACAGGGTATAGGACTTGGAGTTTAACTCTCAGACTTTCTGCTATGCATCTGACTTGAGTTTAATGTGTCCAGATAATTTTCTTTTTTCTTTTCTTTTTCTTTCTTGAGACAGGGTCTCGCTCTGTTGCCCCAGGCTGGCGTGCAGTGGCATGATCACGGCTCATTGCAGTCTCAACCTCCCAGGCTCAAGCGATCATCCCACCTTTTAGCCTCCTGAGTAGCTGGGACTACAGGCACATGCCACCATGCTTGGCTAATTTTTTTTTTTTTTTTGGTAGAGATGGGGTTTCACCGCATTGCCCAGGCTGGTCTCCAATTTTTGACCGCAAATGAGCTGCCTGCCTCTGCCTCCCAAAGTGCTGAGATTACAAGCATGACCTGGCCTGGATGATTTTCTGTTCGACAATTCAAGCTTCAGATGAGGCCTAGGCAAGTGATGAGTTTGGGGAACATTCTTGAGTAATCTATTAAATATATTTTTCATTGGTTTTAGTAAATCTCAAGAAGTTGTGAAGAAAAGGAAACAGAGGCTTCAGCTAGTCCAGGTAAGGCAGATACATATGAATTGTCAGAAATTCCATTTGTTTTTTCCCCCAACAGCTTTACTGAGATATAATTTACATACCATAACATTGTGCCACCACCACCAAATCCAGTTTGAGAGCACTTCCATGATCTTCCAAAAAGTTTCCTGGTGCCCATTTGCAGTTAATCCCCACTCCAAGCCTCAGCCTTTGGCAACCACTGGTCTGCTTCCTGTCTGTGTGATATTTCACATAAATTGAATTATACAGTATGTTTTGCACCTGGCATGTTTTTGCATGTATTAGCACTTCTCTCCTGTTTAATATGTTTTGCTAACTCATCAGTTGATGAACATTTGGGTTATTTCCAGTTCGAGGCCCTTATGAAGAATGTTACTATGAATGTGTGTAGACATACATGTCTTTGTGCAGAAATTTCTTCATTTCTCTCAGGTAGATGGCTAGGGGAGGAATTGCTAGATTGTATGGTAAGTTTCTTTTAAAGAGATAACTTGCTGGGCACAGTGGCTCAGGCCTGTAATCCCAGCACTTCGGGAGGCCGAGGCAGGTGAATCACCTGGGGTCAGGAGTTCAAGACCAGCCTGGCAAACATGGCGAGACCCCGTCTCTACTAAAAATACAAAAATTATCTGGGCATGGTGGCACGCTCCTGTAATCCCAGCTACTTGGGAGGCTGAGGCAGGAGAATCGCTAGAACCTGGGAGACAGAAGTTGCAGTGAGCCGAGATTGCGCCATTGCACCCCAGCCTGGGTGACAGAGCAAGACTCTGGCTCAAAAAAAAAAAAAGAAAGAAAGAAAGAAAAACAAACTGTTTTCTAAAGTAGCTATACAATCTTACATTCTTGCTTGTGATATGCAACGGTTGTAGTTTATCTGCATCTTTACCCAAACCTGCCATCATCTGTCTTTTAAATTATAGACATTCTAGCTGATGGATAGAGGTATTTCATTGTGATTTTCATTTGCATTTCTCTAATGGGTAGTGGTGGTGTGTCTTTTCATGTGCTTTATTTCTCTTCTGTATGTCTTCTTTGATAAAAATATTCATATCTTTTTGCCCATTTTTAATTAATTTGAGACAGGGTCTTGCTCTGTCACCAAAGCCGGAGTGCAGTGGCGTGTTCTGGGCTCACTGCAAATTCTGCCTCCCAGGCTCAAGAGATCCTCTTACTTCAGCCTCCTGAGTAGCTAGGATTACAGGTGCCCACCACCATGCCCAGCTAATTTTTGTATTTTTTTGTAGAGATGCGGTTTTGCCATGTTGGCCAGGGTGGTCTCAAACTCCTGGGCTCAAGTGATCCACCTGCTTTGACCTCCCAAAGTGCTGGGATTACAGGCATGAGCCACTGCATCCAGCCTCTTTTGCCCATTTTTAAATGGCATTATTTTCCTTCTTATTGAGTTGTAAGAAACCTTATCAGATATATAACTTGCAAATATTTTCTCTCAGGCTTTGGCTTGTCTTTTCTTAATGGTGTCTTTTGAAGTTTAACATCTTTTAAATTTGATGATGTCCAATTAATTAACTTTGTCTCTTGAGGCTCCTATGTCCAGCCTCAGAGGCAACCAGTAATGGAAGTGTTGCCCAGGTCTCCTCTGCACCCACGTGTGGCCTCATCTAGGAAAGCGCCTGGCCCAACCACACAGTTCCCAGCTTGTGGTACCATTAGCCCTCCCCTCTCATCCTCTGAGATTGTCACTTCCACTGACTTCTCTGGGTATGGGTATTGTCCACTGTTGCAAATTGAGCAAGTCCCATTGGACCATCGGAGTCCTCAGAGTCTGTCCTGCCCTGGCTAAAGCTCTAACCCAGCTGAGCTGGTGGGGGCACATGTGCAGCCCTAGGAAAGGATTCCACAAACACCCACTGTGCTCCAGTTTTTCAAGCATAAACCTTTTTCATAGTGTATACCTTTGTTCAATTTCTACAGTGCAGAAACATACATTTTGTCCAGCTTTTAATAGATGCTTTTTGGGGAGAGGATTTGCCACCCCTACTCAGACATAGCTGGAAGTCCCACCTTGACAGTTCTTCTTGATAGCAGGAAGAGAAGGACCAGATCTTAATCCAAATCCAAATATGATGACATCACTGCTCCTCAGCTGAGGAGTAGTGACCAAGTGTATACACTAATATTAAAACATAAAAGCGAGGCCAAAATAACTTATGGAAGTTCTAAGTGAGAGCCCTCACTGAAGGAAGGGGCAGCTTGCTCCCTTGCCCCATTGAGCTCTGGCCCCCAGGAAAGCAAAGGCAGGAAGAGGGCTTCCTACTGATCGTGGCCCCCTCCATCTTTTTCACAATACATAGCACTTGTCGGCACCCTGAAAAGGCGACTCAGTTCTAAGATCCAGCTTTCAGGAATTTCAAGAGGGTACGTTTTCTTTGAATGTAATATATACTGCTAAAAGTATTAATTACCACCACCCCCAGAACCTCAATCATTCACTAAATAATGGATATCATATGCCCACTAAACATGGATATAGAACCATATTTGAATGAGACATCATTTTAGTATTTGAAATAACTAAATATATCCTGTTCCCTCAAAAGAATGTGCAGATTAGCTGGAGAGATTGTAGAAGGTGCTGTGATTGTGGTCACCTCAGGAAGGGTTGGAGCTCTAACCTGGGCTGGAGCTAGCAGGGAGTGAGGCAAGGTGGTAGGAAAAGTCCAGGTGGGATCAGAGACCCCGGCGCATTCTGAGGCTGCTAGAAGAGGCTGTCACTGTCACTACTTTCTCACCAGATACCTTCTTGAAAGTATTGGAAAGTGACCTGTCCCCAAATAAGAGTGACTTACATTTTAATGAGCGCTTGAAGGGGGCACAGAGGGCATACAGTTTGGTTGGTGCTGTTCCCTGAGAATAAAAACTGATTGGATACATTGCTGGTTTGAATGTAAAATGATGCAATGGCTTTGGAAAACCGTCTGAGAGCTGCTCAAAATGTAAAACGGAGTTACCATATGATCCAGCAAGCCCATTTCTTGGTATATATCTAAGAGAAATGTAAACATTCATCCGTACGAAAACCTGTACATGAATGTTTACAACATCATGATTCACAATAGTAAAAAAGTGGAAACAGCCTAAACACCATGGCTGAATGGATGAATAAGATGTAGTCTATCCATACAATGGGCTACTACTTGGAAATCAAGAGGCATGAAACACTGATAATGTTGTGATACAGATGAAGCTCAAAAAGGTTAAAAGTGAAATAAACCATTCACAAAAGACCACATATTGCATGATTCCATTAGATAAAATGTTCAGATTGGGCAACTCTATAGACAAAGTGGGTCAGTGGTTGGTAGAGGCTGGGGGCAGGAGGAGACTAGGGAGTAACTGCTAATGGTAAGGGGTTTCTTTTTGGGTGATGAAAATGTTCTGAAATTAGATTGTGACAATGGTGATGTATTAGTCTGTTTTCATGCTGCTGATAAAGACATACCCGAGACTGTGAAGAAAAAGAGGTTTAATTGGACTTACAGTTCCACCTGGCTGGAGAGGCCTCAGAATCATGGCGGAAGGTGAAAGGCACTTCTTACATGGTGGTGGCAAGAGAAAATGAGAGAGAAGCAAAAGTGGAAACCCCAGATGATAAACCCATCAGATTTCGTGAGAATTACTATCAATCACGAGAATAGCATGGGAAAGAGCAGCCCCCATGATTCAGTTACCTCCCCTGGGTCCCTCCCACAACACATGGGAATTCTGGGAGATACAATTCAAGTTGAGATTTGGGTGAGGACATAGCCAAACCATATCATTCCACCACTGGCCCCTCCAAATCTCATGTCCTCACGTTACAAAACCAATCATGCCTTCCCAACAGTCCCCAAAGTCTTAACTCATTTCACCATTAACCTAAAAGTCAACAGTCCAAAGTCTCATTTGAGACAAGGCAAGTTCCTTCTGCCTATGAGCTTGTAAAATCAATAGCAAGTTAGTTACTTCCTAGATACAGTGGGGGTACAGGTATTGGGTAAATACAGCCATTCCAAATGGAAGAAATTGGCCAAAACAAAGGGGTTACAGGGCCCTTGCAAGTCTGAAATCCAGCAGGGCAGTCAAGTTTTTGTTTTTGTTTTTGTTTTTGAGACAGAGTTTCGCTCTTGTTGCCTAGGCTGGAATGCAATGGCGTGATCTTGGCTCACTGCAACCTCTGCCTCCCAGGCTCAAGCAGTTCTCCTGCCTCAGGCTCCCAAGTAGCTGGGATTACAGCTGCCTGCCACCACATCCAGCTAATTTTTTGTATTTTTAGTAGAGACGAAGTTTCACCATGTTGACCAGGCTGGTCTCAAACACCTGACCTCAGGTGATCCATCTGCTTCAGCCTCCCAAAGTGCTGGGATTGCAGGCATGAGCCACCACACCTGGCTGGCAGTCAAGTTTTAAAGCTCCAAAATGATCTCCTTTGACTCCATGTCTCACATCCAGGTCATGCTGATTCAAGAGGTGGGTTCCCATGGTCTTGGGCAGCCCTGCCCCTGTGGCTTTGCAGGGTACAGCCTCCCACCTGGCTGCTTTCACAGGCTAGTGTTGAGTGTCTGTGGCTTTTCCAGGTGCATGGTGCAAACTGTTGGTTAGTGGATCTACCATTCTGGGGTCTGGAGGACAGTGGCCCTCTTCTCACAGCTCCACTGGGCAGTGCCCCAGTAGGGACTCTGTGTGGGGGCTCTGATCCCACATTTTCCTTCTGCACTGCCCTAGCAGAGGTTCTCCATGAGGACCCCGCCCCTGCAGCAAACTTTTGCTGGCACATCCAGGTGTTTCCATACATCTTCTGAAATCTGGGCAGAGGTTCCCAAACTCAATTCTTGACTTCTGCGCACCCACAGGCTCAACACCATATGGAACCTGCCAAGGCTTGGAGCTTCCACCCTCTGAAGCCACAGCCTGAGGTATACATTGGCCCTTTCAGCCACAGCTGGAGCAGCTTGGACAGAGGGCACCAAGTCCCTGGGCTGCATACAGCATGGGGACCCTGGGTCTGGCCCATGGAACCACTTTTTCCTCCTAGGCCTCCAGGCCTGTGATGGGAGGGGTTGCTGTGAAGGTCTCTGACATGGCCTGTAGCCATTTACCCCATTGTCTTGGGGATTAACATTAGGCTCCTGCTACTTATGCAAATTTCTGTAGCCGGCTTGAATTTCTCCCCAGAAAATGGGTTTTTCTTTTCTATTCCATAGTCTGGCTGCAATTTTTCCAAACTTTTATGCTCTGCTTCCCTTATAAAGCTGAATGCCTTTAACAGTACCCAAGTCATGTTTTGAATGCTTTGCTGCCTAGAAATTTCTGCCAGATACCCTAAATCATCTTTCTCAAGTTCAAAGTTTCACAGATCTCTAGGGCAGGGGCAGAATGCTGCCAGTCTCTTTGCTAAAACTTAACAAGAGTCACCTTTACTCCACTTCCCAACACATTCCTCATCTCTGTCTGAGAACACCTCAGCCTGGACTTTATTGTCCATATCACTATCAGCATTTTGGGCTAAGCCACTGAACAAGTCTTCAGGAAGTTCCAAACTTTCCCACATTCTCCTGCTTCTTCTGAGCCCTCCAAATTGTTTCAACCTCTGTCTCTTACCTAGTTCCAAAATAGTTTCCACATTTTGGGTATCTTTTCAGCAACGCCCCACTCTACTGGTACCAATTTACTGTATTAGTCTGTTTTCTGCTGCTGATAAAGGCATACTGGAGACTGAAAAGAAAAAGAGGTTTAATTGGACCTACAGTTCCACATGGCTGGGGAGGCCTCAGAATCATGGCAGGAGGTGAAAGGCACTTCTTACATGGTGGCTGCATGAGAAAATGAGAGAGAAGCAAAAGCAGAAACCCCTGATAAACCCATCAGATCTCGTGGGACTTAATCACTCATGAGAAGAGCATGGGAAAGACCAGCCCCCATGATTCAATTACTCCCCGCTGGGTCCCTCCCACAACATGTGGGAATTTTGGGAGATACAATTCAAGTTGAGATTTGGGTGGGAACACAGCCAAACCATATCAGGTGGCAAAACTCTGAATATACCAAAACATACTGAATTGTAGACTTGATGATTTTTACAGTAAGTTAATTATGTATCAAAGTTGTTAAAATATCTGATTGGAGAATCTGTAATGATGGGGCAGGGATGGGATGGGGGAGTATTCTAGGACTGGGTATGGGACAGGGAAGGGCTGCCAGCTGACCCCAAATGGGAACCCCACAATAGGTCCAGTAGCCCCTCCTGGATCTGTCTGCTAGGCAGGGTTGAGGGGTGGGGGCTGCCCTGGAATATTTCATCCTCCCCAGTTAGGCTGGACTAGGAAAAGGAGGGGAAGAGGCTTTCTTCTCTGGCATTGCTACGAAGACCCGGTGGCCTCCATCCTGGGGTGCTGGGTGGGTGATTCCATAGGCAGAGGGTGCCTTGCTCAAGGTAACTTCAAGGAATGAGGAACTTTCAATGTTTAAGACCAAACCCTAGCTGGGTGTGGTGGCTCACACCAGTAATTCCAGCACTTTGGGAGGCCAAGGTGGGAGGATCGCTTGAGTCCAGGAGTTTGAGACCAGCTTGGGCAATATAATGAGACCTCATCTATTAAAAAAAAAAAATTAACTGGGCATGGTGAATGTGGTTCCAGCAACTCAGGAGGATGAGGCAGGAGGATGGCTTAAGCCTGAGAGGTCAAGGCTGCAGTGAGCCGTGGATAGCGCCACTGCACTCCAGCCTGGGTGAGAGAGACCCTGTCTCAAAAAATAAAGAATAATAAAAACCAAACCCCAGTGAGCATTTCAAGCACATGTGTTCAGGCATGTGGTATATGAAGGCTCCAATTCAACACAAGAAAGATGATGTAAGATGTTTACAAAAACAGATTGCATTACAGTTGAGGGCAAGCCAAGGGCTGCCTCTTATTCATTCAACACATCTATTGAGCAGCCACTCTGTCAGATACAGTTTTAGAACCCCATGCAGCAGTGAGTGAAACAGACAAAAGTATCCGTGGTCATGTAGCTTACACTTTGCTAGGGAGACACAAATAAATAGTAGCATAGCACATTGTGGAGGGTTTCAGAGAAGGGTGATTATGAGGAAGTCAGAGGGAGGGAAATT
This sequence comes from Homo sapiens, assembly GCF_000001405.40. NCBI lineage: Eukaryota > Metazoa > Chordata > Mammalia > Primates > Hominidae > Homo > Homo sapiens. Next base: position 84,660,436 of record NC_000004.12, read on the forward strand.
GCAATTGTAAATACTGTAGGTTGGTCAAGGGAGGCCTCACTTACAAGGTGACATTTGAGGAAAGACTTGGAGAAGGTGAGGGAGGAAGAGGAGCACACCTGGAGTAGGATCCTTGCAGGTAGAGAGCAGAGCCAGGGAATGGCCCTGCAGCAGAGGAGGCCCTAGCCCAGGATGGAGCAGAAGGTGTGAGGGGTAAGAAGGTGAGGAGCCCTGCAGGGCTTGACACAGAATGGGCAATTGCAGCACACGCACAGTGACTGCTGTGTCACAAAACCCAATCACAACACCCAGTCCTCAAACTAAGGGGGGAACGATGTTAAAAGAATTCACTCACAGTATATCACAGCAAACATAAAGGCTGGACAAGAGTCCACATTTAAAAGAGGAAGAAGAAAATCAATGGCATGACACCTATGCAAAAGGCAGGCAGGCAAGAAGGCAGGACAAAAGTTTGCAAAAGACCAGGAATGCAGTGGCGGGTCAGGGGGTGGGGGCAGTGGAGTGAACAAGGGGGAATAGGGGAGAACCTTTAGGAAGGCCTGGTATCATACAACAGTAATTCAAAAAAGGACAAAGATGAGATAACAATGATATGAAAATCTGGAGCGCAGAGCAAAGAAAACATATTGTGGAAGAAAGTATTACTGAATTAGAAACAGTAAGGAATGGAATACACTTGCTGAAAATCTAATTACAGATACCTGTGTGAAGGCAAGCCTCTCATTTATAGGCCGGAAAGTTCTTGGAGAGGGTACTTACATCATTTTAAAAAATCATCTTCAAGGCCCAGCTAAGTATGTATTAGCACAAACACAGATTGCTACCTTAGAAGGAAAAAGACATCCACATTCGCAGATTTGAACTTGAACCATAGCACACTTGATAACATTGCTTTAGGAGAACTTTGTTTCTTTTTTCTTCTTGGCAGAATCGGCCAGCAGCAGACTCAAAGGATCCTCAAGTTTATAACCAAAGACTGCTTAGTTGACCTTTGCTCCATGGTGGATTTCTTGAGAATCAGTTTGCAAAGGAGCAGCTTCCTTTTATGAAGGGAAACTTTATGCAGGGAAATCACATTTTTAGGATATAGCTTTTGTTTGAAGTTTGTAGTAGGGCCTGAGGGCAAGACCCTAAACAAGTTGTTTTTCTTTAACTCTGTCCTCTGCACTGGAATGCAGCTTGCAACTCTTCTTTGCCTTTGTTGAGCAGGAAGCATGATAGCTGAAGGCCAAGGTTGAAGTTCGGATGCTTTATCTTCTTGATAAAGAAGGGCATAATTATGCACGGATAATATTGAAATAACATCCAAAGTACACTTGCACTGTAGTCACCTAAAAGAAAATTGGGAAATACTAACTGGGAGTTGTTTGTAAAGAGCCTTGGCCTGGGTGTCAGAGGCTTAGGAGCAGAGCTGGGAATTCTACTTAAAAAGTCTACTTTGGACTTGATGACTTTGAATAGCCCTTCCCACTGTAGCATTCTGCCTCCTGTATATCTGACTGAAGGTGAACTCCCTGCCATTGGCGTTCATTTGGCATTCAGATGTTTCAGTGCATCATCCCTTTTATGTTCGTATTTCCAAGTTAACACTGGAATGTACTGACAACACATTTGTCAGGCACTACCCTTCCTATATATATTACCACATCGAATCCTTATAACAATTCTCTGGGGGCAGGTATCCTAATACAAATTTTCCATATAAGGAAACTCAGACCTAGAGTGGCTAAGTCACTCACCTGAGAGCACACAGTAAGTGGTAGAATGGGAGCTTAGCCCCTAGACTGACTCTCCTGATAGTTTATTATACTAGTTAGAACTGTATCTAATATTAAAAGATTCGTATTAGCAGTTTCTTTTATATTATCAAAATTTTAGAGTCTTGAATAGAAATAATAATGTGATTTTAAAAGTCCTTATTTGAAACCCCAACATGCTTTTGAGCTGTAGAGGTGGTATCCCAGTAGCTGGGGGTAGCCGCCAAAACACTTCAGTGTGATAGGGCCTGGTCTTGCTCTCAGGAGGTTTCAATGGGAGCCCAGTTGAAAGCACTGGATTAGTGATTAGGAATATCATTACTGAATGAGATTGCATGCATGCTACCTTACAATTTAGGTAGCCTCATCTCATGTCTTCTTCTTGGACCAGTGGTTCTCAAGGGGTTTCCAGGCCCCCAGGAGTCCGGAGACCCTTTTAGAGGGTCTGCAAGGTTTTCATAGTACTACTAAAACACTACCCTTTTTGCTGCATTGATATTTTTATTGAGGTACAAAAGCAGTGGTGGGTAGAACTGTTGGAACCTTAGTATGGTGGCACCAAACTACTAGTAGTAGTGATCATATTCTTCATAACCAAACACTTGCAGTAAAAACACAAGTGCCTCTTTGACTTAAGAATGACCTTGGAGAAGCAATAAAAATTATTACTTTTATTAAATCTTGGTCCTTAAGTAGAGTGACACAAGATGAGAAGTACCCATAAAGCACCTGCATACTGAAGTACAACATTTGTCTCAAAGAGAAGCACTTGTGTGACTGAATTGTGAGCTGAATTCTCTGCCTTTCTCATGGAATACTATTTTTATTGAAAGAACAACTGACAAGCTATGGTTCTATGGATGGTATGTTCTCAAATATTAACAAAGTGAGCCTATCCCTTCAAAGAAAACAGCAGACAGAATTTATTGCCAATGATAAAATTTTAGGTTTTAAGCAAAAATAAGAATTTGTTGTAGAATTTGTGTCTGTCACTATGACTTAAAATTTTCTGATACTGCTGGTGGTATTTTAATGTATATGATAATGTGATTTTTTTGATATTATATAATGAAATATGTCAACATTTAGAAGTTCTACATATACTGTTTCTGTCTCTGGTGCTTGAATCAGGATTTAAAAATAATTTTCTAAATGATCAATGCAAGATGCTGTAAAATTATGGATGTGTAAAAAAATAAATTCAAAGTGCAAGATAGACCCATGGATTTTAGTGTCATAATATTAAAAGTTCATTGGCATCATTTCAGAGTCCACATAGTAATTAATCTTTAAGAAACTTAAACTATTAAAAAACTTAAAACTATTATCTTAAGAAGCAATGATCTGAAAAAGCAATTATAATATTCCAGCTCGAAAAACTGAAAGCCTTTCCTTTAAGATCTGGAACAAGACAAGGATGCCCACTTTCACTGTTACTCAACATAGTGTCCTAGCTGGAGCAATCAGAAAAGAGAAAGAAAAGGCATCTAAATTGGAACAGAAGTAGTCAAATTATTCTTGTTTGCAGATGGTATGCTCTTATATTTGGGAAAACCTAAAGACTCCACTAAAAAAAATTAGAACTGATAAATTCAGTAAAATTGCAGGATACAAAATCAACATGCAAAAATCAGGAGCATTTCTATATGCCAACAGTGAACAATATGAAAAAGAAATCAAGAAAGTAATCCCATTTACAATAGCTACAAATAAAGTAATATACTTAGGAATAAACTTAACCAAAGAAATGAAAGATCTCTACAATGAAAACTGCAAAAGACTGATGAAAGAAACGAAAGAGGACACACAAAAAATGGAAATATATTCCATGTTCATGGAATGGAAGAATCAGTGTTGTTAAAATGTCCATACTACCCAAAGCAATCTACAGATTCAATGCAATTCCTATCAAAATATCAATGACATTCTTCACAGAAATAGAAAAAATAATCCTAAAATTTATGTGGAATCACCAAATACCCAGAATAGCCAAAGCCACTGTGAACAAAAGGAACAAAACTGGAGGAATCACATTACCTGACTTCAAATTGCAACTACAGAGCTATAGTAATCCAAACAGCCTTGGACTGGCATAAAAACAGACACATAGCTCAATGGAACAGAATAAAGAATCCAGAAATAAAACCATACCTCTACAGTGAACTCATTTTTGACAAAACTGCCGAGAACATATATTGAGGAAAGGACAGTCCATTCAATAAATCCTGTTGTGGAAACTAGATATCCATATGTGGAAGAATGAAACTAGACTCCCTATCTGCCACTATATACAAACATCAAATCAAAATGGATTAAAGATTTAATTCTAAGACCTAAAACTATTGAGAGGTGACAGCGTGCTGGCAGTCCTCACAGCCCTCGCTCGCTCTCCGCGCCTCCTCTGCCTGGGCTCCCACTTTGGCGGCACTTGAGGAGCCCTTCAGCCCACCACTGCACTGTGGGAGCCCCTTTCTGGGCTGGCCAAGGCCAGAGCCGGCTCCCTCAGCTTGCAGGGAGGTGTGGAGGGAGAGGCGCGAGAGGGAACCGGGGCTGCACGCCGCGCTTGCAGGCCAGCTGGAGTTCCAGGTGGGCGTGGGCTTGGCGGCCCTGCCGGCCTGGGCAATGAGGGGCTTAGCACCCGGGCCAGCGGCTGCGGAGGGTGTACTGGGTCCCCCAGCAGTGCCGGCCCACGGGCACTGCGCTCCATTTCTCACCCAGTCTTAGCTGCCTTACCATGGGGCAGGGCTCGGGACCTGCAGCCCACTATGCCTGAGCCTCCCACCCCCTCCGTGGGCTCCCGTGCAGCCCGAGCCTCCCCGATGAGCGCCACCCCCTGCTCCACAGCGCCCAGTCCCATCGACCATCCAAGGGCTGAGGAGTGCAGGAGTGCGGGTGCAAGGCTAGGGACTGGCAGGCAGCTCCACCTGCAGCCCCCGTGCAGGATCCACTGGGTGAAGCCAGCTGGGCTCCTGAGTCTGGTGGGGATGTGGAGAACCTTTAGGTCTAGCTCAGGGATTGTCTTTACCTCTAGCTCACCAATCAGCACTCTGCATCTAGCTCAAGGTTTGTAAACACACCAATCAGCACCCTGTGTCTAGCTCAGGGTTTGTGAATGCACCAATCGACACTCTGTATCTAGCTACTCTGGTGGGGCCTTGGAGAACCTTTATGTCTAGCTCAGGGATAGTAAATACAACAATCGGCACTCTGTATCTAACTCAAGGTTTGCAAATACACCAATCAGCACCCTGTGTCTAGCTCAGGGTTTGTGAATGCACCAATTGACACTCTGCATCTAGCTACTCTGGTGGGGCCTTGGAGAACCTTTGTGTCCACACTCTGTATCTAGCTAATCTGGTGGGGACTGGAGAACCTTTGTGTCTAGCTCAGGGATTGTAAACGCACCAATCAGCGCCCTGTCAAAACAGACCACTCGGCTGTACCAATCAGCAGGATGTGGGTGGGGCCAGATAAGAAAATAAAAGAAGGCTGCCGGAGCCAACAGTGGCAACTCGCTCGGGTCCCCTTCCACACTGTGGAAGCTTTGTTCTTTTGCTCTTTGCAATAAATCTTGCTACTGCTCACTCTTTGGGTCCACACTGCCTTTATGAGCTGTAACACTCACCGCAAACGTCTGCAGCTTCACTCCTGAAGCCAGTGAGACCACGAGCCCACTGGGAGGAACAAACAACTCCAGACACACCGCCTTAAGAGCTGTAACACTCACCGCGAAGGTCTGCAGCTTCACTCCTGAGCCAGCGAGACCACGAACCCACCAGAAGGAAGAAACTCCGAACACATCTGAACACCAGAAGAAACAAACTCCGGACACGCCACCTTTAAGAACTGTAACACTCACTGCGAGGCTCCACGGCTTCATTCTTGAAGTCAGTGAGACCAAGAACCTACCAATTCCGGACACACCATGAAGCTGCTAGAAGAAACCATTGGGGAAACTCTCCAGGACTTTGGTCAGGGCAAGATTTTTTGGCTAAGACCTCAAAAGCACAGATAACCAAAGTAAAAATGGACAAATGGGATCACATCAAGTTAAAAAGCTTCTGTACAGCAAAGGAAATGATCAACAAGTGAAGAGGCGACCCACAGAATAGAAGAAAATATTTGCAAACCACTCATCTGACAAGGGTGGTTAATAATCAGAATATATAAGAAGCTCAAACAACTCAATAGGAAAAAAAATCTAATAATCCTATTAAAAAATGGGCAAATGATGTGAATAGGCATTTCTCAAAAGAAGACATACAAATATCAAACAGGTATATGAAAAAATGCTCAACATCATTTATCATCAGAGAAATGCAAACCAAAACCAAAAGGAGATATCCTCTCACCCCAGTTAGAATGGCTGTTATCCAAGAGACAGGCAAGAACAAATGCTGGTGAGGACAGAGAAAGGGGAACCCTCCTACACCGTTGGTGGGAATGTAAATTAGTACAACCACTATGGAGAACAGTATGGAGGTTCCTAAAAAAACTAAAAATAGAACTGCCATATGACCCAGCAATCCCACTACTAGGAATATACACAAAAGAGAGGAAGTCAGTATATCAAAGAGATATCTGTCCTCCCATGTTTACTGCAGTACTATTTGCAATAGCCAAGATTTCAACTCAACCTGAGTCTATCAACAGATGAATGGATATAGAAAATGTGGCACTTATACACAATGGAATACTATTCAGCCATAAAAATGAGATACTATCATTTGCAACAATATCGATGGAATTAGAGGACATTATGTTAAGTGAAATAAGCCAGGCAAATTAAAAAAAAAGACATTTTGCATGTGCTCACTCATTTGTGGGAGCTAAAGATTAAAACAAGCGAACTCATGGAGACAGAGTAGAATGATGGTTACGAGAGGCTACAAAGAGTAGCAGGGAGGAGGGTGGAGAGTGGAGATGTTTAGTGGGTATAAAAATATAGTCACATAGAATGAATAAGATCTAGTATTTGATAGCACAACAGGGTGACTCCAGTCAACAATTTACTGCATATTTTAAAATATCCAAAAGGGTGGAATTGGAGTGTTCCTAACAGAAAGGGACAATAAATGCTTGAGGTGGTAAACACTCTATTTACTTTGATGTGACTATTATACATTGTATGCCTGTATTGAAATATAACATGTACCTCATAAATATATACACTTATGAGCTCATAAAAATTAAAAATATTCACCCCCTTTTCAACCAATACATGTGTGAGGTTGGATTTTCTTCATGCTTCAACCAAAACAAAGTATATTCCTGATGTGACTATAGTAGGGGTGCGATAGACATACTTTTCACAAAATGATAGCTGGAGAACAAAGTTCAGGAAACGAGCCAAAACCATGCAGATTTGTCTTTTTCCATAAATCCAGTCAAAACAAAGTATCACAACAGATGGAATGTAGAAGCAAACTTGAGAATCCACCTGTCTTCTATTGAGCCAGACATTACAGAGATTTGCAAAAAGTTGTAAATTTGCCAAAAAAACCTGTTTTTTTTGTTTGGAAAAGATTTTTTTTTTTTTTTGGAGACGGAGTCTCACTCTGTCGCCCAGGCTGGAGTGCAGCGGTGTGATCTCGGCTCACTGCAAGCTCCACCTCCCAGGTTCAAGTCATTCTCCTGCCTCGGCCTCCCAGGTAGCTGGGATTACAGGCGCATGCCACCATGCCTGGCTAATTTTTTAGTAGAGACGGGGTTTCGCCACGTTGGCCAGACTCGTCTTGAACTCCTGACCTCAGGTGATTCGCCCGCCTCTGCCTCCCAAAGTGCTGGGATTACAGGTGTGAGCCACTGCACTCGGCTGTAAAAGACTTTTTATAGAAATATGTAATTATGTTAATACATCATGGTCTTATCATTGTTATTTTAAATGAGTTGACATATATATTTTAAATCTCAGTTTTAATTTCTAATACAATGACTACTGATAGATATAAACCAAATAAGCAAAAGCTGTTCGGTTCCTTGAAAATTTTTAAGGATCAAAGAGTTCTCAGACCAAAAAGTTTAAAGAAGCACTTAGACCATTCCCATCCTCACAGGCAACTACTGATGTAGGAAAACCCTATGGAGAGAGTGAGCGCTAAAACAAGAGGCTTCCTAAATTCCCAAGCTGGTTAGAACTGAAGCCTCAGTGGTAATTCCAAATCAGGGATCTCCAAAACACCATGCTATTGTGGTAGCTTGGCTTGGTGCTGTCTCTAGCAAAAGTAAAAGAAAAAAAAAGAGCTTTATAATAGGTGGGAGGAAATGAGAATATTCATAAAGCAAAGAGACTAACCAAGTGCTGGGCCAAGTCCATCAAATGGTCAAAAGTGAGGCGTGGAGGGAAAATTCTGTTGAAGATGAGAAGCAAATGGCAGACAAGGGACTCACTGAAAATCATTTGCATGTTTGTTCTTTTAAACTCTGAATTTCTGCATCTGAGAATTCTGCAGTGTCCATCCTTGACTGCAACCCGTCACCAGAACTATAAGTAATAAAGCATTAATAACATGGGAGCTGCTCTAAGGTTTCTTTTACCATTTTTTTTTTTAATTTTTTAAAGAAATTGCTGTTGTTTTAGTTCTTGGCATTCCTTCATCTTCTGCCACTCAAGTAGAGTTGCAGTAAGGTAAAATTTGTAATAAGCAAAACATACTCAAATTTGGGGCTCTGCTGTTCAAGCTTAAAATGAATTTAATATCTTTAGAAAGAGGGAAAGTGAAATCATCAAAACAGCCTAAATAAACTTAAAAACTCTTCTTTACAGAAAGGCTATTTTAAACCCAAACAAGCTCATAACAAGAACAATGGATTGTAAGTTCTAACACTCTCAGACTGAAGGCTGAACTGGAAAGACCAGCTGCTAACAGCGGCTGCTGTAGTTCCAGGTGAGGGGCAGGACACTGGAATATTCCTTATGTGACTATAGTATGGGTGCAAGAGACACACACATATATATATATACACACACTGTTGCTTACTTTTTGGCTGGAGAATAAAGCTCAGGAAAAAAGAGCCAAAACCATGCAGACATGTCTTTTTCCACAGGTCCAGTCAAATTTGAGGGTCACGTCTCCCAGAAGGGGCTTGCTTCTCCTTACTGCCATCCACATACACTCATTAGCCCTGGGAATCCAGCACAATTGAGAAGCTCAGACTGCAGAAAGCCTGATTTTTAAGGATGAGTCAAACTAGAACTGGAACTGGAACCTTAACAGCCAATACTTCTGCAATCTTATGCAGGTGCTTCTGAAAGTATTTACAACTAGAAAAGAACTACATAAAGTTAGGGAGTTATTAGATCTCTGTTTTTCCTTCCCTGAATAACTGACTTAACAACTTTTCTTTTTCTTTCTTTTGGTGGTAAATAGGTATTTATTTGAAATGAAAAAAAAATTACTTAAGTACCTGGACTATTGCATTTAATCATGTATTGTAATTGTGTTACTCTACCTTTTTGCATCAGAGACAAATATACAATGAACATTCAGATATCACAGACTGCACACTAGATAGTAATTCTTCAGGTCTTTTACATAACCACCAAGAAACAGATATTGGTTTCTGCAATATAGTATAAAAGTCCACAATCAATCCAGTCTTAGCCAGTATCTTCAATTTACTTCTGTTGCTGTACAAATAATTGGCCATTACTAGGGCTTACAAGTTAATAACAGGACAAAAAATATACATTGCACTGACACAAAAAGTCAGCTGTGTTAAGAGTCATGCAACAAGTAACCAAACTTGCTGAAATTAAAAATACTTTCTAAAAACAGTTTTAACGGCATAAATATTTTATACACAGTTCATTTACCAAAACAAAATGTATTTAAATGATACAAAGCAAAAATAAGTTTCTACCAACTTTATACATAAGAAAGTGCAAAATAACTTATCTAGAGTGTTTTGCTATTATCCAGACGGATGGCTGCTATGGGCAGCTATTCTCTTCTTCAAAAGCATGACATTAGAGTTGCACACTACATAGAAATGTTAGAATACATGGATGAACAAATGAACAGGTGGATGGATGAATGAACAAACTACAAAGATCAGGCAGGAGCCCTATGAGGTACTCTCAGAAAAAGAATGCAGACCATACTAAGGTAGATGTACATGTTGACAATAGATGTTGGTAAATAAATTTACATGGAACACAGAAAGATATCCAGAGAAATAATTAGTTTATGTATGTGAGTGTACTTGTATGTGTGAGTGATTCTGTTGATTTCTGCATTAGAGGCAAAAAGAAAAGAAACCCGATTGAACAAAACAGTTGCCCACAGCACCAGCTGCCAGAGGAAATACTACCATGAGGGTTTTGGTTTCCACCTTCTAGTTATGGAAGTTCTGTTAGAAAGTTAGTAATGGAAGTTGTGTCGGAAAGTTTAAAAGTGTTCATCCCATATAGTTTCCTATTACAAAGAGGAATAACCTTTAAGTAACTACACACACACATTCATATATTCAAGTCTTTAAAGAACACCTCTGCCACTGGGTATGGGGTAAACATGATTCATGGACAAAAGGAGGACGCTTCTTTTAAAAAGTGTAGAATAACACTGCTACAAATCATCTAGAGGGCCAGACAGGGGCAAGGCCCACAGTTACATAATAGCACAATTTCTGCAACTGTTGAACATCAGCATTATTTATTAGAATTGAAGATGGTGATGGGGGAGGGAGAGTGTGGGGGGAGTAAGACACAGAAAGGAAAACAGAACACAACTTTTCTTTAAATTAAAGTATTAATGCCGATAATCCTTTTATTAACAAGTATATTTGAACTTTTAGAAATGGAAGTGTTTTAATCAATTTTGATATGTAATCATAAATAGACTGTAGGCTCAAACCCAGGTAAATAAAGATTTAAATTTAGTAAGCGTAAGGCACTAAAGCAGCCTTTCTATTTTCTCTTGGAGACCTAGTTATCATATCAGGAAGAACAAATTTGTTCTTAAGCTGGTTTCAGCCCATCAGGTACAAGATCACCATTGTACCAAATGCCTATTTTTGAATGCATGTGCATATATGTGCATTTTAGTGCATAAGTGTGCCTCTCACCAGGGCCTAAAGATGGAAAATTGGAAAAGCCAAAGCCGCTGTCCTTTGCATGATGCCTCTGTGAGGGTGTGAAGGCCTTTCCTTTCGCACCTGTGAAGGTGTGAAGGCCTATCTTGGGCCATTAATGATTCTATATTTTTCAAATCACAGGGCTTTTAGAATTGTTCATAATGTTATCACTAAGTTTCTGAAAATGTTAAAATCTAGATTAATTGTTTCATTTTTAATATATATTATATATATATATATATGTACATAACACACATTTAAAAAAATCCCACCACCAAGCCTTTTCTCTGTAAACTAATCTCTTAGCCCCTTCCAGCTTTAATCCCCCTGGATTTGTGTGTTCTGTATCCAACTAGTAGAACAAATTAAATAACTAAATATTAAAATACTGTAATTATATTCATAGCAAAAACAAAAAAATAGACATTGATACAGTATAAATCTCACTGTTTTCAGGTAGATGACATTAAATGGTAAAGGTTAATTTTAAGCAGTTCTGACATGATTCAGTTTTACAACAAAGTTTATATGTTAATTCTGTACACTTCTTTCTTTCCTTTTTTTACCCCTTGTTTGAAAATAAGCTATAGTAGAACATTAGTGTCACCAAAGACACATACTTATTATGTTCTATGCAAGATAAGCTAATTTTGGGTTACATGCAAATATATTTCCATTAGTTGAGACAGGGCTGTTTCCTGCACTACACTGGTCATCTGACCACCTTTCTGCAATGCTAAGAAGGTATTCTTTGACCAAACAGCAGTCCACATACAAGTTTAAAAGGGGCCCTGTTTATGTAGGAACAACACTGAGGTGGTGCGTAGCCAGGTACAAGACGCCCAAATATTTCCAGTTTATCTTACGGCTGGACTCCTATTCTCCCACACTGTTTCCTAAAGAAGGTCCACATTATTTTGGTTACTAGCCTAGTTTAAGTGGAGATACTGTGGGCAACTTGAAAGAAATGACATCAGGCACACAGGCTGAGCTTGAAAGGAAAAAAAGACCACAGATAATGTCTTTGGGGATTTAAAAAAACATATTTATAATTAATTGGTAAGTGAGGGATGTCAGACAAACCATAAGTAGTTCATTGAGTTAGTGGTTTAGTTTGAAGTTTCATGTTACAGGCAGTTAAGTCCTTATTTAGAAAAAAGGCCTTTTATATCTATTTACAATATACATAGTTACTTGCAAAGAAGTCAGATTTACAACCATTTTCTAAAAGCCTTTTTTGTTGTTGGTTTTTCCAAATAAGGATGAGTAGCTCTATAAAAATGAGATGCAAGAAAAGAGAGTTAATAAGTGAGGATTTTTCTCTTGGAGACAGCTACTGTCATCAGGGAGAACTGGAGGTCGAAAGTGTTGCTCCTAGGAACCACCTCATATTCTTCTTGTGCTGTTCACCTGAATCGCGTCTGCCCCATTCCTGTACTCTACACCCGTTTTATTCAATGATCCCTTTGAATTTTAACACTTCAAACACGTGGTATGAAGAGATGTGTAAACGGAGACTGTTTTCAATGCCTTCCAAGCTGGGACAGGAGAATCGGGAAGGGGTCTACAGACCATGGTCTCCACTCAGCTTGTTGAATCTTCAACAATTTCGAGGCCCATCTTCTGAACCTCTCTCATGCTGTAAGTTATAATAACAGTTCTGACAAACACGCACCGGGGATGAGATTTTCAAGCGTTTGATTTCAGATTGAAAGCGACTGCACCTAAAGGAAAGGAAAAGTCAATTAATTATAGGTCTTCTCCATGCTTGATCATGGGCACCGGAAACATTAATAATCGAATGGAAAGCTTGCAGTAAAATGCCAAAGGCCATACTGGTTTGTGTTGTGTGGCTGAACAAGGACTAAAAGGAAAGCTGTATTATTTGTTTCAGTCTATGAAGAAAAGCAGTATTAAACCAGGGAAGCTATTTCTTTGACTGACAAGAATTAAAAAAACGAAAACAAAAAAACAGAGTTAAGATTTTCCTATACAATGAGGCCAAGGTGTCTGAACAGTGATGTAAGGCCATTCTACCTGTGTAGACTAATTCTCATGGCCTATAAGCTTGGGAGGTATGTCAATGTCTTTACCTGGAGCTTGACATATTTCTCTTGGAAATCAGAAAAACTCACTAGCGGAAATTAGAAGACTCACTAATGAGTATCTATTTTCAAGAGAATTACTAATGACTCATTAGTGAGTCTTCTAATTTCCAAAAGAAATATGAGTTTGATCACTATCAAGTTCCATTGTGCTTTTAAACATTTTGATTGATCCACTCTTTAATCATTTCTTAAACAGTTAGACTGGCTTTCCTTTTCCAGTCCCAACACCCTCATTTCCTATTTATCTTGCTAGAACTGTTTGAAGGAGACTATTCTTAAGAGATGTTCAAATTCTTTAAGAAGTATTCAGAGTTCCTATTCCTGGAATAAAGCCAGGTGTGACTCAGGATGTGGTATTAAATCACTTTAGGCTTGGATTTTCAGAAGATTGAAATGGAAATGAAAAAAAAAATTTTTTTTTGGTAGGGATGGGGTCTCATTACATTGTCCAGGCTGTCCTCAAACTCCTGGCCTCAAGTGATCTTCCTGCCTTGACCTCCCAAAGTGCTGAGACTACAGACGTGAGCCACTGTGCCTGGCCTTGAAATGGAGATTTATGTTTAGTCCATTAATCTACCAGTAAAAATGTCCAGAGAGTAAATTAAGTACTATAACCTTATGGGTTTAAAGGACTGTCACTGGACCTCTCAGATCCCTCAAGAGTGTCAACAGCTCTCAGCCATAGAGACCACAGGCTGTGTGTTCTGGAAAGCACTTCCTTCTGTGCCTGCTTCATCAGAACTTATCACTGTTTGGTCAGTTTCCAATAAAGCTTCCATCCAACATTTAATAGCAATGGATAATTTAAAGAATTACCTATATTTAAACAATATTTTGAAAATTAAACACTACAAAGAACAGATGTGTGCCAGCATACATACGGGAGTGCTAGTACAAATCACTAGATTAATATGATGGGTGTGGAGGCTGAAAACTGTAATCCCAGCACTTTAGGAGGCTGAGGCGGGGGTACTGCTTGAGCCCGCGGCTGTGAGACCAGCCTGGGGAACATAGTGAGACTCTATCTCTACAAAAAATACAAAAATTAGCCAGGTGTGGTGGCTCTTGCCTATAGTCTCAGCTACTTGGAAGGCTGAGGTGGGAGGACTGCTTGAGCCTGGGAGATCAAAGCTGCACTGAGCTGTGATCGTGCCACTGTACTCCAGCCTGGGTGATAGAGGAAGACCCCATCTCAAGAAATATATATATATAGGCTGGGTGCGGAGGCTCATGACTGTAATCCCAGCACTTTGGGAGGCCAAGGTGGGCAGACCACAAGGTCAGGAGTTCGAGACGAGCCTGGCCAATATGGTGAAACCCCGTCTCTACTAAGAATACAAAAATTAGCCAGGCGTGGTGGTGCACGCCTGTAGTCCCAGCTACTCAGGAAGCTGAGGTAGAAGAATCGCTTGAACCCAGGAGGCGGAGGCTGCAGTGAGCCGAGATCACGCCACTGCACTCCAGCCTGGGTGACAGAGTGAGACTCCGTCTCAAAAAAAATAAAAATAAAAATAAAAGATATATATATATATGTCTAGCGGCTCTGTGCTTTGAAAGGCCTGCTCTATAAAACCCATTATGGGTTTTTAAATTTATTATCTATTTTTTTGAGATGGAGTCTTGCTCTGTTGCTCAGGCTGGATGGAGTGCAGTGGCGTGATCTCGGGTCACTGCAACCTCTGTCTGCTGGGTTCAAGTGATTCTCTCGCCTCAACCTCCTGAGTAGCTCACCACCACACCTGGCTAATTTTTGTATTTTTAGTACAGACAGGGTTTTGCCATGTTGGCCAGGCTGGTCTCGAACTCCTGACCTCAGGTGATCAGCCCACCTCAGCCTCCCAAAGTGCTGGCATTACAGGCATGAGCCACTGTGCCCGGTCCCATTATAGGTTTTATAGAGCAGGCCTTTCAAAGCACAGAGCCACTAGACAGAATCCTCTGCCAGCCTCACAGAAATTCCCACAGGAAATGGCTGGCTGCAACATTTTGGGTCCCTCATCTTGAACCAGACTGCCCAGCAGAAAAGGTTTAAGGAATCAAATGATGGAACACCTGTTTTGCCAGACTCTGAACTTGGTGCTTTACAACACTCATATATGTGATCTCATTTAATTCTCTCAATAGCTCTAAGAGGACTGGTCTTCTTACCCACATTTACAGATAAAGAAACCAAAGCTCAGAGAGGCTCGGTAACTTGCTGGCATTATGGCAACAGAAAGTAGCACAGTGAGCATTTGGTCAGTGTAAACCCAAAGACTATGCCCATACCAGTAAGCCAATGCTGCCTATAAAACCTCAGGAATGGACTCATAATTACACAAGTTGAGAATAATATGCTTTCTATGAAAGCATCTCTGGAGTAAGGCAATATAAGCCTTAAAGTGTACTGTCCATGGAATCCTTTCTGTTGTCTGGCAGAAAAAGTAACGACTGTGGATGTGTATCTGGGACCCAGGTGTAGGACAGAGATATCAACCAAATCTATAGCCATGGGACCACTGACCTTTCATATGGGGGAAAAATAGATCCTCGCCTCATGTTATACCCCAAAATAAATTACAAATGAATTAAAGACCTAAATGTGAAAAATAAAACTTTGAAACCTTTAAAAGAAAATAAACAAGATTATCTTTGTGATCCTAGGACAGAGAAAGAATTCTTAAGGCACAAAAAAGCAAAAATCATAGAGTAATACATGTGACTACAACCAGTTTAAAAACTTGTAGATGACAGAAAAAACATATACAAAGTTGAAACACAAGCCACAGACTGGCAGAACGTATCTGCAAGATATATAAAAAACAAAGGTGTACAGCACAGAATATATAAAAGAACTCCTCAAGGAAAAAAAAAGGGCAAAGTACCCAAAAGGAAACCCAAATAGCCAACAAACATGAAAAGATGTTGTCTCACTAGCATTGCAAGTTAAAACAACAAAGCACTATTTTTTAGCTATCAGATTGGCAAAAGTGGAAAAAGTCTGGCAGTACCAAGCATGACTAAGAATTTGGAGAACCTTCATGGCCTGTTGGAGGTAGTGGAGGTAGTATTAACTAGCACTACTGTTTTGAAGAGTAATTTGGCAATATCTAATTAAGATCAAGAATAAGTCTGTGTTCTATCAATTTCATTCCATCTCTAGAGGAATTCTAGCTTGTGTATTAGAAGGGCATTTATAGGGATGTGCATTGTAGCATTATTTATAGTACTGATAAAAATAGAAAAAAAAAAACCCTGAGAGGGCATCAAAAGGGAAATAATGATGATAAATTCATATAATTAAAATAACCGACAGTAGTTAAAATGAATATATTACAATAAGATATCTATATAAATGGATTTCAAAAACAATGTTGAGTAAGAAAGTTACAGAAGGGCAAAAACAGTATAGTACGTAAAGCTGAAAAGTAAAGCTGAGAACACCAAAATAGTATGATGTAATGTTTACAGAGGCAACACATGTTCCTGAAAGCATAAAAACATGGAGAATGGGTGTGATTGGTGAAAGGTGCAAAGAGGATACTTACAATGTATCTATAGTGTTTATAGAATCATTTCACATACAGGTCTCTAAATTAAATACGATGAAATATTAGCATATGTGCATTCTGTGTCATGGATGACAAGGTGTTTGTGACTTGTATGACAGAAAAATTTCCTAATTGTAGTAATAAAGAAGAACAGAAAAAGTGAAGACTGGTTCATACCAACAAGGCATACTGTAGTGGGGACGCCAGGGCAAATCAGAACCTGTGTGCAGGACATAATTAACAACCTTAGAGCTTAATCAATGTAAATTCAAAAAGCAGATATCTTATCTTACTTCTGGCAGAAGAGCTGACCACAGTTCCTGCAATGGTGTCGTCTTTCTGTGAGTGAAAACCTCACCGAGCAGCCTGAGCAGCTGTCACCACCTTCATCCTTCACCCAGTGATCAGCAGCAGAACGGCCTGGCTGGTCACTCACAGACCAGCTGAAAACTCGGCCTCGACTGTCACCAACGAGGATCCTACTGTGATCCCTGCAGGAGACACGACAGAGGAGGTCACTGCACGGAAGGCTTCTGTGATCTCCTTCTTGAGGCTCTCTGGATTTTGGTGGATGTGTGTTTTGAGGTCGGGGCTGGTAAGGGTCCTGGAGAGACCCCTTGATTCACTCAGAGATGTATGTGTAAACAGACAAAAACTGAACCGAGCCCAAATTTACACTTCCATTTCAATTTTCTTTGGATCACCCTTGCTGTATCTTTGAAGAACAGAAAAAGCAGTTTTTCACTTTTTAAAAAATTCAGAATTTAAATCCAGTGTATGGGCATGGTGGCTCACACCTGTAATCCCAGTACTTTGGGAGGCCGAGGTGGGCGGATCACTTGAAGCCAGGAGTTTGAGACCAGCCTGGGCAACACGGTAAAACCCCGTCTCTATAAAAAATACAAAAATTAGCCGGGTGTGATGGTGCACGCCTATAGTCCCAGTTATTTGAGGGGCAGAGGTGGGAGAACTGCTTGAGCCTGGGAGGTTGAGGCTGCAGTGAGCTGTGATTGTGCCCCTGACTCTAGCCTAAGTGACAGAACAAGACCCTGTCTCAAAAAAAAAAAAAAAAAAAAAAAAAAGAAAAAGAAAAGAAAAATATCCACACACTAACAGGGTTCTTCTTCAAATTTATCTCTTTGAGCTACATACGATAATACAAATAAAATCTGTTTTCCCCAAAGACTGGGCTGGAGTATGTGGCCCTTGGCTAACCAAATGACTCAGATGGGAAGCGGAGCTGGAAAAAGCCTGACACTTACTTGGAGATGCCCAAGGCAGTGACCTCAGCTGGGTGTGCATTGTCCTTTCGATCAAAGGCTGTGTGCATAGTCAGCTTACTCCTGAACACCAGCTGCCGTTCCCATCGGTACCCTGGAATGGAGAAGTGGAGGACACAACATAACTCAACTGAGAGAAGCCAATACTGGGGAGAACTACTCTAAGATGGTGGCCTTAAACTTAGGGTACCTCAACATACAGCTACAGCAGCTTTTCCAGTTCTCGGCAGCTGCTGCCTTGGTTGAAAGTAAAGCTACCTAGCTTGACATTAACATGGGCCAGGCTGGAGAAACATCTCGTTGAAGGAGACAAACTAATGAGAAGGAGAAATTTTCAATGCAAGCAGATGCATCCAATTTCTCCAATTGAGGACCTTGCCTCTAACTCTATTCTGGGCAAAGTTACCTGCAAATGCAGTTTTATTTATTCATTTTTAATTAGCTTCTGTGATTTAATGAGTTGTGAATAAATACAGTTTCTAGTTTGAGGTATTTTTCTTTAAAAGATGCCCAGCATATTGCAAACACCATCGTAGGATAGAATTTTTAAGTCCACTTTACACTAGAAGAAACTGAAGAGGCCTTCTGTGTAAAGAGGCATTCTGTGTGAGTGGCCCAGCTCACGGGGCACATCCAGGGTGGGGCCCAGGGAGAGCTAGACCCCACTGCCTCAATCCACCAACCCTCACACCACATATAAGGAGTGAGAAATAGATACCAGACTTCAAGTTACCAGGTTTCAATCTGCTGTAATTCCGCACCTCAATGGGA